>NT_187515.1:0-263356 GCF_000001405.40 Homo sapiens
GTACTGGAGGCCTGGACGGGCCTCACTCCATTCTTAGGGAGCGGCTGCTCCTGGTTCCCAACCACAAGTCACATCACTGCTGCCCCGGAAGGCACCTGGGGCCTCCAGAATGCTCGTTTCGTCAAACTGTTGTACGTGGCTCCTTTGCTGGCGCGGGGAAAGGGCCGTGGGCTTGGGCCCTGGAACGCATCCCAGGATCAGTGGCTCTGCAGGCTCCAGGCCCCACCAGCTGCTCTGAGGAGGCTCAGATGGGTCTGGGAGTCCTGGTCGGAGCTGTAGCAGCTTCACATCCCCCTGGACGGAGGAAAATGCAGATTCAGCACCCCCACCCCCCGCCCCCCACCACCCAGAGGTTGGAGCTATTTCAGTAGAAATACATGTTTTAAACTGGGGCGTCTGGCCAGCCACGGTGGCTCATGCCTGTAATCCCAGCACTTTGGGAGGCTGAGGCGGGTGGATCACCTGAGATCAGGAGTTCGAGACCAGCCTGGGCAACATGGTGAAACCCTGTCTCTACTCAAAATACAAAAATTTATCTGTGTGTGGTGGCAAGCACCTGCAATCCCAGCTACTTGGGAGGCTGAGGCAGGAGAATCGCTTGAACCTGGGAGGTGGCAGAGGTTGCAGTGAGCTGAGATGGTGCTACTGCACTCCAGCCTGGGTGACATAGTGAGACTCTGTCTCAACAAAACCAACCAACCAACCAACCAACCAACCAACCAACCAGCAAACCAGGGTGTCAAGGCCCACACTTGAGGGAGTGGTGTCAGGTGAGGTGGGGGACCAGGTCTGCAGCAGCCTCTGCCTGGCCTGGGTGGGGCAGCTCTGCCCAGGTGGTGTCACTGGGGTGGAGGACATGGCTCTGGAGCTGGGCAGACTTGGATCCCAAATCTGCAACTGTGTGGCCTTGGGCAATGGACTCACTGCTGAGATGAGCCAGCAGTAGTATGTTATGGGCAGGGCTGTGTGGCTGCCTGTAAGCTCTGCCTAGCCACCTCTCAGGGACAGTGGCTGCCCCAGCCTCGCCCCGTCCTGCCCCTGCTCCGTGACGCTCCCTGGAACTCAGTCATTCTCTGGGGAACCAACAGCCCTCAGAACTGAGTTGCAGCTGTAGCTGCAGTTGTCTTTGATGCATAAGTGGGAGGCTGGCCTCGGACTGGGCTGCCGCCGCCAAGCTCAGCCCTGGGGAAGTGGGTGAATGAAGCTGTTTCTCTGCATACAGTGTCTCCCTGGCTCCCCTGGGGTCTCCTGAGCCACCTCAAGGAGCCCCGGCCCCTCCCAGCTGGGCCCGTCCCCTGAGGCTTGTCCAGGAACAGGCACCCTGGGCAGAGGTGGCTTCATCCGTTGCTGTCCCCTTCTTGGCTGGGCCTCGACGGGGGGGCAGATATCGGGCACCTCCTCCCAGGAGGGAGTTTGGTTTTTGTCTGCAAAATGTGATCCTTCGAGAGCTGGTTCAAACACCCAGCCATTCCCTCCCTCCCCGTGGGCCTCCAGCACAGGCGGCCGGTCCTCTGGGTGCCTCGTTAGCTCACCAGGACGTGCCCCACTTTTCAGAGCCTCTGCTCTACATGAAGTGAAGATGGGCTGGGCCGTCTGGGATGTTTCCCGCGGCATTCAGAACACAGAAAAGGAGCTCGTTACCAAGTGCCCCCAACTCGGCCTGCCTCCCTATTCAGCCTGCGCCCTATACAGCCTGCCCCCAACTCCCTGCCTGGCCCCACTCCCCGCTTGCCCCCCAATTCCCCACCTGCCCCCTAACTCCCCACCTTCCCCCTCACTCCCCACCTGCCCCCCACTCGGCCTGCCCTCCAACTCCAACTCCCCCCCTGCCCCCCGCTCCCTGTCTGCCCCCCTGCTCCCCGCCTACCCCCCTCTCCCCGCCTGCCCCCCCGCTCCCCGCCTGCCCCCCGCTCCCCGCCTACCCCCCGCTCCCCGCCTGCTGACTGTTGCATCCCAGGTTCCAGACCCTTGGACCAGGCGCGTTCAAGGCCAAGCACGTGGGACCCCAGCCTGGGCTCAAATCCCCACCTGTCCGCCCACCAGTTGCTGGACTGTGGGTTTTGGGGACATACCTGTGTCTCTGGGTCTCAGTTTCCTCATCTGTGAAAAGGGGGTGACAGTGGTTGTGAGGGTGAGCAGGTGACTTGTAGAGAAGGAGGGACAGCTCGGCAGTGGGACCCCCGCCTGTGCTAGGGATGTCGGCTCCCAGGACACAGCCCTGGCCCTGGCCCTGCCATAGGGGCTGTGGCTCGGCCACCCAGCACACGCTGTCTGGAAATAGGACTTGAGGTGCAATTTGGGGCAGGGCCTGGGGTCCAGGCCAGCAGCTGGGCCGAGTGCGCTCCAGGAGGGAGGCCTGTTGCTGGTGTCCACGTCAACAAGGTGCCGGGCGCTTCTCCACTCCCCAGGGCCCTCCCCCTCCCAGCCAAGGCAGGCGGTGGTGGGCTTGCCTCGTGTCCCGATTGTGGGGTCTGGGGCCAGAGATGTGTGTGCCTCCCCGGCCCCCGAAGATCATACGCAGTAGCGTCTCCGAGGGATGCCACTAGCAGTGACAGGCAGAGATTGTCGCGGAGAATGTGGCTGATGGAGGTGCGTTTCTGGGCTGTACAGATCAGTGCCGCCCCTCTGGACTGATCAGTGCTGCCCAGCTAACCCCTGGCAGCCCCAGTAGGGCTTCTGGAGGAAGCCCCTCTACTCCAGCCCCAGGAACTGGCTCCAAGGGCCACCGTGAGGCCAGAGAGCCGCGACCCACCAACATGTCCTATCACCGTGGAGGGCAGCCCTGTGGGAGTCTGCGCCATGGGTGGGCTGGGGGCTCTCGGGGGCTCTGACCCCTCAGAGGGTCAGCCACCGTTGGCAGCAGGGAGCCCTTCCCCCAGACCACAGCCCTGGTAATGGGGGCAGGACAGGCCAATGGGACCCCTCCCTGGGGGCTGGGCAGCGAGTTGGCCCCACCGGCCTGGGACCCTAACGTGCTCTTGGCCCCAGCCCTGCCCCCACTGCGTCTGGGCTGCCGGGGGGGCGGTGGGTGGTGGTGGGGGGACTGTGATTCAGGCTGAGCTGTCACGGATGCCTGTCATCGGCATGCTGGTGGGGAAGTGTCTGTTTGCACAGAAAACACGTTCTGAGCCCCGGGATCTTTGTCATCCTTCAGAAATGCCAACCCTGTGAAGTGAGGTCTGCTCTGCCGTGGGCCTGTCGGAGGAGGCTGAGCAGAGACTTCCGTCTGGGCCCCGAGCTTTGGCAGTGCACGGGAAGGCGCCCCCTCCCTCTGGCCCGAGGCTCCCTTGCTGGTAGGGGCAGCGGGCAGCCCCCACTGCATTGCTGAGCCTGGAACCACGGTGGCCGCCGTGTGCAGCCAGGTGTGCAGAAGGACGGTGGAGGCTGAGTGCAGCTGGGCCGCACGACCCAGGATGCTGGAGCTTCAGGGAGCAATCCGGAGGTTCTCCAGAAGCCGCTGAGGCCTGGGTCCCCCTGCCGCCCCCCATCCCCCGGCCCTGCCTGGCAGGTAGCAGCCCCGTGGAAGTATTTCATCTTGGCTGAAAGGCAGCAGCTGCCGTCCTGGAGTGAGCCCCGTGGAGGGGGGCCTATCTGGTGGGGATGGGAGCCCTTGATCCTGCCTCCTGCTCTCCCTCCTGCCCTGGCCCTCCCTGCCTGTTCCCTGCCCCAGCCCCTCTGGCCTTTGGGAGCGGCCACCGTGAGCAGCAGGAGGTGAGGGCTGGTGCTGAGGTGGGGTCCACCTCCCTCCAGCGGCGCCTTGCAGGCATTCGGGGAGCAAATGCACCGTTCACTCCACCCCAAGCTGCCCCAGAGAGCAGCAGATGGGCCCAGGGAGGGGCTTAAATAATTCACAGGCCCTGGGGACAGGGGATGCTAGCCTAGGGTTCCCCAACCAGAGGCTGGGCATGAACCTCCCTTCTGGGGCGCCTGGCCACCCAGTCAGCCTTGGTCCTGGGAGGGCCTGGAGCTTGGCCAGTCGCTGTCCTCAGCTGACCGCCGCTGGGCCTGGCCCCGGGTGCAGCAAGTACACAACAAAGGCAGTGCCTTTGTTGCCCGGAGCTCAGCAGAGCCTAGAGGAGGACAGCCTGGAGGAAGGGTGCCTGTTGGCACCTGGTCCTGGCTTCTCAGGCGGGAAGTCCCGGCTCACCCCACCCCTTCCCATGGATCCATTCCCGGTGGGGGCGCCCCTCAGTGCTCTCAGAGTCCTGGCTCACCCCGCCCTTCCCCGTGGATCCATTCCTGGTCGGGGCGCCCCCTCAGTGCTCTCAGAGCTGGGACTCCTCACCACCTCCACCCAGGCCTGGGCCGCCCATCCCCCACCGTGCTACAAGCCTCCTGCCTGTCCCCCGATCTTCCAGTGGGGCAGCCGGGACAATTTGCCAAAACGCAAGTCTGCCCCCCGACAGCGCCAGTGCCCCCACTGTGCTCGAGATGTGGTCTGTGGGCGCCGTGCTCCCTGGGGCCCTTCCCCGTGTGGTGCTGCTTGGGAGGTGAAGACCCCTGAGGCATATGTTTCCAGTCCGCCCTGTTATCGCCCATTGCAAAGATGAGGACATTGAAGCTGGGGATGGCAGGCGGTGCAGGGGAGGCCCTTGTCCTATCTGGAGGGCTCACTGGGAGCGTCTGTGCACACCGCAGGCCCTCCCCAGCCTGGAGAAGGGGGCCACTGGCCCCGGAATGCTGACAGTGATCTGGGCTGAGACACGGGGCTCACAGGACCTCCTTCACGTGTCCAGGGCCAGTGTCTTCACAGGGCCCTGTGGCCTTTGCCCTCCCCATTGCCCAGGGCCACCCCCCTCTGGCAGGGGCAGGACCCTCCACCACCCCTTCCTTCCACCCCCTGTGGAGCAGAGCCCCATCCTCCCAGCAGAGGAAAGTGCACCCCAGTGCCTGCTCTCTGCTGCCTCTTTCTGGGGTCCTTGTTCCTGTGTGCAGCCCCTGGACACCCTCTCCTGACTCCAGCAGATGCCAGCCCTGGGTCCAGCCTGGTGCCTGTCCCCGTCTCCCGGTGGGGAGGGCTGCTATGGCTTCCAGGGTCCCCAGGACTTTGGGCAACGGTGGCGGGGGCTGCTGGAGGGGCCTGGCCTGCGCCTGCCGAGTGGGGTGGGGGAAAGAGGGCAGGCCCCAGCCAGTGTGGGGGCCTCTGAGAGCCGAGTGTGTGGGGGCCTCTGAGAGCCGAGTGTGTGGGGGCCTCTGAGAGCCAAGGCTGGTAGTGGGGTTCCGGGGGTGCCGCAAGCCACCCCCACCCCGAGTCTGTCACCCACCTATGGGTGCCCACTGTGGGCATAGCCATGAGGGCCACCTGGCCTCTCCAGCAGTCCGGGCTGGGTGTTTGGCCTCCCCGGGGCATGTCCTGGCTCACCTGGCTGAGCTCCTAGGGCAGGAACTGCCTGTTCCCTTCCTGCCCTGCAGCACTGGAGGTGACCTGGGCCTGGGCCCTCCAGTTCCCCGATGGCCAGTGCCCCGCCCACCATGCCCGACTCACCCTGACACGTGGGGATCCCCAGGCAGCCCCGAGACAGGGTCTTAGGGCTGCCTCTGCAGGACCCTTGGAAGTGCAGGCCCTTGCTCAGGAAGGGGTTGATGGTGTGGTATGGCAGGAGGCGGCACCACGTGACATGCTTGATGTGACATGATGTGGTGTGGTCCCCTCCGGGAGGATGGTCTGTGGAGGCTCAAGGCCATGGACCTGCTACTCCCCAGGGGCTGAACCAGCAATGCACCGAGTGGACCGTGTCCCTTTACTTGGTAGGGGTGGCCTGATGGTGGACCCCAGGCCTTCCTGCCTGGGACCCTGCAGGGCCTCTGGAGCCCCCTCCCAGGTGAGGCCTCCGAGTGGGGAGGGGCCAGGACCTGAGCCCCAGTGGCTTCCCCAGGGGCCCCCAGGGTCTGGGATAAACCGGGAATGGTGGCTTCCCTGAGAGCAGCGCCCTGGCTCGGCCCCTCGGTGTCCTGGCCCTTGCAGGGCTGTTGGGGCAGGGCCTGTCTCCGAAGGTCTGTGCACTATGTCCTTGGCCAGGTTTGGGGCTCAGTGGCAGTGTGGGTGAGACAGAGCAGGTGGCTCGCGGCTCAGGAGCCCCTTGGAGCCCTCTCACTGTCACCAGTGGAGTGTGCGTCACCCCCAGAAACCTGTTGTCCAGGCTGGACCCTCCCTGCCTGGGGGCAGCCAGGCCTCGGCCCCCCATGTGGCCTGAGCACATGCGCCCAGCTGTGCTCTGACCCCCACCTGCTCCAGAAGGCTCTGCTCCTCCCTGAAGCCTCCATGGGCCAGACCCCCATGATGCTGAGCCCCCAGCGGAGCCGGGACCTGGCTCTCCCCTTACCCTTGAGACCATGCTCTTTTCTGAGATAGGAACTCAGCCGACCCATCTGCAGGCTTAGCCCGGGCATGGGACCCTCGGCTGTGGGAGCTAGGACGGGCGGGCACCTGGAACTGGACGTTGGCTGCGTGATGGCCAGTCTAGGCTGGGTGCTGCCCAGAGGCCCGGCAGGTCCCTGTTCCCCGGCCTGGCCTGAGCACCAAGGTGTCGGGGCAGGAGGACCCTCGGCCCTGCCAGGCCCCCTCTGCATCCCTCGGTGTGGGTCCCCAAATTTGGCGGTTCACCCACTGTTCCCAGGGCCTGTGCTAGGTTGGGAGACACCCCTCAGGGAGAGCACGTAGGGGCACAGGGTCCCCAGAGAAGGGCCTACTGGGGGCGCAGGGAGGCTGGCAGCCCGCCTTCCTGCAGGTGGAGTTAGACTCAGTGAGTGTGAAGGATGCTCTGTGGCCACCATAGCTGGAGCAGCTGCCTGTGGGGGATGCCGACGCTTGTTCCCTGGGGTCCTGGGGGTCAGGCGGGGGCAGGAGCAGTCAGAAGCTTCAGAGGAGCGGCCCCAGGGCCTTTGCTGCAGATGGAGGCGGGAGGCTCCCAGGTGGCAAAGCGCACCTGCTGCAGGTGTGAGAGGGCCCAGTTCGGGGAGTATGGCCACCGGGAGCCCCTCGGGCCCTCCACCCCCCTGCAGGGCCTCCCTCCCCGGCCGTGCCCCGGTCTTCACCCTCCATACCTGTTGAGCCGTGCCGTGGGTGGAGGTGAGCATCCCGCGGGCGGGCTGTGTGCGTGTGTGTGCCTGTGTGCTCGTGTGTTTAAGTGTATTTTTAAAGCGGCTTTGCAGCTGTGTTTGACTCACTTCCATTCTCTGGTAGGAGCTCGGCAAGTGGTGCACTGTGGGTTATTTTGGGCTTGGCAATATTGCAATTATTAGATTCCGTGTTTGTAAGGAAACAGCGTCGCCTGGGGCAGCATTGGCTGTGGGTGGCGGTGTTGATGCCGTTTGGGATGCGGAGCCCAGAGGGGAGGCCCAGCTTGTCCCTTGGGCCTGTCACAGGGCTATCAGGGTTACCAAGCCGCCAGCACCAGATCACCTGGTGGGCAGTTTCTCCCGGGCCTTTGTCGGATTTAGGCCTCCCCTGGCTTCCGAGCGCAGCCCCCCCAGTTCGTCCCCTGGGCGCTGGCTCCTACCTGACCTCATGGCCGCTGAGCCCCGCAGGGTCTTGGAGGGGCTCCAGCCCAGCTTGGGAGGCGGGGCGGCCCTGGGGGGCGGGTGGCGCTCTAGCCACGCGCTCTGGGGCTCGTCAAAAAGACTTAAATTGCCCCTTGCTCTCAGCTGTGCCTTAAAAAGCTGCAGGTGGTGACTCAGTTGTCACCGTCACTGTCACCGCTGCCGGTGCTTCTGGGGACGCGTGAGGTCACCGGGGTGGCTCGTCCTGTGCAGCCCCCGCCCCCGGCAGACCCGTCGACCCCTTGGGGTTGGGGGACATGGGGGAGCTGCTGGAGCTGGTGAGACGCGGCCTCCGTCGGCTTCCTGCCATGGCTGTAACTTGAGGGAGCCGCCCTCCTTGGGCCTCAGTTTCCCCCTCTGAAGCCAGGGAGCTGGGCCTTCCTCTGGACTTGGTTTGTCCAGGGCTCTTGGTGGGAGGTGCCCACCCTTCCTGAGAGAATGGGCCCACTTGGTAGGACCTTTTTCTGCCCCTTCTAGGGCCAGCGGAGGGGCCCGTGCTGGGTCTGCGGAGAGCAGGTCTCACAGCCACAAGGGGCTTCCAGGTGGGAAGGGACCCCAGGTTCACACCATGACTCTGGCACTGTGAGGGGCGATCCGCACCTCCTCTAGGCCTTAGGCAGGTCCTCTCTGTCCAGCCAGGGCCCCTACCTGTCATCTCCATTTTCAAAGGGGCAAGAGCCACCTACCTCCAGAACCCCCCGGGGCTCCAGTCCTCAGGCGCCTGGTGTGGCGGTGGTGGCTTTGGGTCCGGCCCTGGTGGTCTTCTCACACTGGCCAGCCCTTGTGCAGGATGGCCTGGGGCTGGGGGGTACCCAGGGCTCTCTCAGGTGGGCTGAGATGTGAACTGACCAGCTGGCAGCTCCGTCCATCAGCAAGGACAGGAATGAGGCCTGGGCCTGCCTGGCCACGCTGGGCTGGCCCGCCCTCCACTCAGTGGGGACCTCTCCTACCCTCCCTGCTGGGCTTCAGGGGCCTTTCCAGCCATGGCTGGGACCTGTGAGTGGCCAGGGGCTGGGGGGCTGCATGCTCCCAGTGGCCTCGTGGCCGTGATCACAAGGGGCTGAGTGCCCTCTGCCTCAGCTTCCTGCCACTGCAGCTTCTCGCCAGGGTTCCCCAGCCGCCTGCTCCCCAATGTCTCCTGGCCTTCCTCCCGGGACGCTCCTTGGGTTCTGAGATCTGCTGAGATGGGGCCTGTGTGTTGCGGGACGGGGCCGCACCCACCCTGGGGGAGCGGCTGAGCTGCTGGATGGCCTCCTGCCTCTCAGGGGCCCAACAGCGACCTGCAGGCAGTCAGGGAGGACTCCCTGAAGGAAGCGGTTTCCTCAGTGTCTGACCACAGGGCAGTCACAAGTTCCCCAAAGGCGAAGGTGGCTCACCCCGAGTCCTGGCTGCACCCTGGTACCCACAGCCTCGTGTGGAACATGAACCATCCCGGTCCCAGGAGGCGCGTGCTGGGAGCGGCTCCCAGCCCTTGGATGATCTTTCCTCTTGCCTAATGGGCAGGCTGCTTTCTTTTCTGTTTTAGACCTGAAAAAAAAAAAAAAAAAGCATTTGCCAGCATAGCACTGATGGCCACCCGGCCCATGCTGTCCACCGGGCGGGTGGTAGGGAGGGCAGAGAGCAACGTGCGGGCCTCAGGCACCAAGGAGGCCGCACAGGCAAGGGGCTGGTGGGCGCTGGGCTCACTGGTGCATCCCTGCAGGGCTGACTGGCCCCAGGCTGTGTGTGTGAGTGGGGGTGGGCCATGCCGTCACTGTGGGCACCCAGGCCTGTCCTCGGGAGCTCTGACAGCACAGGGAAGGTGGCCGGCTGGGTGGGGACTCAGGGCAGGACACCGGGCTGCCTGGGGCGGGGGGACTCCTATCAGTCCCCGTAAGGCCCTGCTCAGTGCCCGGCCCCTGTGAGGCTGAGGATGGGACAAGGGTGTGTCCTGCCGTCCAGACACTGGGACCTTGTGCAGGCATCCAGCTGCCTTGGAGCAGATGGCAGAGACCCTGGAGCAGGGCACTAGCAGGGGGCTGGGCACCTACAGCAGGAGCCCTCAGCCGGGACCCATGACACAGGAAGGGCTGGAGGCTGGGCTGGACAGTCCCCCTTGGGCACTGGCCTGGCCTGACCTGGACATGCCGAGTGGCCGGGGAACGGGTGCCAGGCTGGCCCGAGTGGCCTTCCTGCTTTCACAGGAACTGGCAGGCCGGGTGGACCCAGTGGGTCCAGCAAGGTTGGTGTGACCCCTGCTTCCTGGGCCTGGGGAGAAGCTGGGCTCCATCTGTGCCCCTGGAGCAGCCAGTGGCTGAGTGGCCGGAGGAGATGCCTGAGGAGGCTCTGGCTCTGCCCTCAGGGACGCTCCCGCCCAGACCGCGCCCATACAGGCAGCCTGCCCCCAGTATGGGCAGCCCCCCAAAGACCCATCTGCACAGGGATGATCTCGAGGCCACGTTTCATTCCCACTTCAGCCTCCTGTACTCCCGAGTCTCACTGGCTTCTAATCTGCACTTATGCAACCATGGTAAAAAGTGACTACATCTGGGGATGTCCCCGTGCGCTGTGATGTGTGCTTGGCCGTCTCTGCAAACGGGGGCCCGAGGGGCTGGTGCTGCTTCTCAGCAGCCTGGGCCACGCCGGTCTTGCAGCGTGGCTGCTCCTGGGCACTCTTGAGTCACTGCCTCGTAGTGACCTGGCCCCCTCATTGCAGACTCAGCCCCGAATCCTGCTCCCCGGTGGCTGGGTTGCACCCATCTGGAGGTGGGGCTCAGGAGGCGGCCTTGGTGATGCCAGGTGGTCAGTGGGTTTTTGCCATCCGCCAGGAGCTTCACTGGGCCTCCCGTTGGCCCTGCATGGGACATGGTGACAAATGCCACGCTGGTGACAAGCCCTCTCTGGCTTGTTTATTTTGTCTTGTTGGAGATGCACGTGCCCCTTGCAGCCTTGCCGGTGGTCTTCCTTGCCAGTGGTCCTCCTTCCTGGTGGTCCTCCTTCCTGGTGGTCCTCCTTCCTGGTGGTTCTCCTTCCTGGTGGTCCTCCTTGCCGGTGGTCCTCCTTCCTGGTGGTTCTCCTTCCTGGTGGTCCTCCTTGCCGGTGGTCCTCCTTGCCGGTGGTCCTCCTTCCTGGTGGTTCTCCTTCCTGGTGGTCCTCCTTCCTGGTGGTCCTCCTTCCTGGTGGTCCTCCTTCCTGGTGGTCCTCCTTCCTGGTGGTCCTCCTTCCTGGTGGTCCTCCTTGCCGGTGGTCCTCCTTGCCGGTGGTCTTCCTTTCCGGTGGTCCTCCTTGCCTGTGGTCCTCCTTGCCTGTGGTCTTCCTTTCCGGTGGTCCTCCTTGCCTGTGGTCTTCCTTTCCGGTGGTCTTCCTTTCCGGTGGTCTTCCTTTCCGGTGGTCCTCCTTGCCTGTGGTCTGTCTTCCTTGGGCTGACACTGAGCCAGCGCTTATCTGAATGCAGTGCTGGCGCGTGGGGAATACGCTCCTGAGTAATTCACACGCAGGACCGGCCGGCCGTGGACGGCGGGCAGTGTTTGGAGGCCAGTTTCTGCTCAGCGCCTCATGGTGGGGCTGTTTCCTTGGCACCGTGAGGGGCCGGTCCATGCGGCCAGTGGAAGCGTCCATCGGCCCCTCACCACTCTGTTCGCTCCCCTCTGGCCTGTTTGGCTCCAAGCGAGCACCCTGAGCTGGGACCTGGGCCAAGCGCTCTTCTGCTCCGGCAGTGACTGTGCTCCAGCTGGCGCTGTCCAGCCCTGCCCAGGCCCTTTCTGCCCTCCGGTTCCTCCCCTTGCTGCTCTAGCCTGGCCTAAGGGAGGGGCCCGTGCCCCCATGGGACTGGCCCTTCATGTCCCCAGGGGCCCTGCTGTCCAGGAAAGCAGCCCATTCTCTCCAGGGCTTTTCTAAGGCCATGCTGCCCCGGGGTCCCAGGCCGGGTTCCCCCAAGAGCTAGGACCCCTGACCACTGCTCTGTGTCTCCCAGACCAGAAGCCCTCTGGGTGCGGGGCCTACCTCTGGTTTCCTCACTTCCTCTCCAGCTCTAAGCCATGCCCACACACAGCAGGTGGTTAGTAAACCCCGGCTGATGGCTAGGGGTATGGAACAGGTGGGCTGGAGACAGGCAAGGAAGGACGCAGAGGGTGGCAGGTCTTGGCCCCGGGGCATGGGCCGTGTGGGCTCCCTCTGGCCTGAGAACCGAGTCTGAGGACTGGGATCCTGGGAGCCAAAGGCAGGGGCTTAGTGGCATAAAAGGGACACTGCTTCTTTTTCAAGGATTTTCATATTTTTAACGATGCAAGCAGCTGGGAGGCCTGGGGCGGCACCCAGGTGTAAGCTGGGCTGCTCGGGCCTGATGACCCTGGTGGAGGCTGGTGAGGCTGAAGGGGCTCCTGGTCCTGGGGGTGGGGACTGGCCTGCCTGTGGGGCCAAGGCTGTGGGGGCCTTTGACCAGCAGCCAGGGGCTGACCTGAGCTCAGGTTTCACCGTGACTGACCGTGTGGACTTAGCAGGTCTCACAGCTTCTCTGAGCCTCAGACCCCTCAGTGCAGCGGCAACACTCCCCACCTGCAGGGCAACAGCTGCGGGTTCGCCTCTTCTCTCTCTGCCCTTCCTTCAGCAGGCCCTTGAGGCTGGGTGCCAGCCTGGTGGCGTGGGGGCTCAGGAGTGTGCCCAGTGCCCCTCTCTGGGGCCGGATCTCACACCCCCACATGGGGAGGGCCTGGGTGGGGCCAGGTGGCCAGCAGCTCCTGACAGACCCTGCTGAGGGTGTGTGTCCTGGGACGTGGCTGCATTGGTGGCCATGGGGCAGTGTTCGTCCTGCAATCCTGCTCACTGGACTCCGTGCCAGGCTGGCCAAGGCTCTGCATGGCTGCTGCATGCGGGCACAGAATGTAGGTCAGGCTGTTGCAGGGGGGTAGGGCTGGGCAGCCAGGGCAGTGCCTGCTCCCTCAGCGTCCAGTGGGGCTCTGCAGCCCGGGGCTGGACACCTGACCCACCGACCTTGGCCAGGGCCCTTCTGGTGGTGCCTGAACCCCCTGGCAAGGCTGTCCTTCAGCAGGGAGGAGGGAGGCATGTGGGCACCTGCTGTGACTGTGGATGCTGCTAGCAGGGCGGGCTGAGCTCGGTCCATGTGGGACCTGGCCCCTGGGCACTGGGAGGCTAGGATGTGTGGGTCCTGCTGAGATGATTCAGGGCAGAGCCTTCCCGAAGCTCCGGTCCCTGTGGCTGGCTCAGCTTTCGCTCCCTGCTGGGTTACCCAGCCCTGGGGCCTCGGCTCCCCTCCAGCCCGCAACAGGGAACACTGTGGGGACAGTGACGCCCACTGGACACCCCATCCCCATGCCTCCCGCCTCTGTGGGCCTCAAATCCAGCTGTTTCTTGCTCTGTCTTCTTTGTTTCTTCTGCGCCTCTGCCTTGGCATTAACAATGTTCCCTTTGAACCTGTCTGCAACTCCCCCAGGCTTGGGGGAACCAGGAGCAGGGCTGGGGCCTTTGTTTGGGGAATGGCACCATGGAAGGTGGGCAGGGCAGCTGGGGATGCCAGACTCATCCCCCCCAGGGCCTCTGCATCTGGCCTTCCCTGGCCATCCACCCGGGACCCCCTGTCCCATCAGCTTGTGTTTGCTTGAGTCCCACTTTCTTGGGGCTGCCTCCCCTGGCGCCCCCTCTCTGGAACTCTGCCTGCACTGGCTGTGCCACTCGGCAGCCCCTCTGCCTGACACCCCCTCTGCCTGACACCTCCTCCACCTGACACCACTCCGCTTGACAACCCTCCACCTGACACCCCCTCCGCCTGACACCCCTCCGCCTGATACCCCCTCCGCCTGACACCCCTACACCTGACACCCCTCTGCCTGACACCCCCTCCACCTGACACCCCCTCCACCTGATACCCCCTCCACCTGACACCCCCGCCTGACACCTCCTCTGATACCCTCTGCCTGACACCCCTCTGCCTGGTACCCCCTCCACCTGACACCCCTCTGCCTGACACCCCCTCTGCCTGACACCCCTCTGCCTGACACCCCCTCTGCCTGACAGCCCCTCTGACACCGCCTCCACCTGACACCCCCTCCGCCTGACACCCCTCTGCCTGACACCCCTCCACCTGACACCCCTCTGCCTGACACCCCTCCATCTGACACCCTTCCACCTGACACCCCCTCTGCCTGATGCGTGGTCTTGTCCCCATGGCCTGCTGTCAGGTGGTCACCCCAAGGCATCTTGGTCCATCCGGGGCAACTACGGTCAGTCTGGGTGGCCCGTGGTCAGTCTGGCCAGGTCCTCACTGGTCTGTCTTCCTCCTCAGCCAGGCGATGTGCTCCTCTGTGACCTTAGAGCCCCAGAACCGAGCTCTGGGCTCTGGGCATCGCTGGGGTGGTTTCACATGGGGCCCTGGGGGCTGAGGCAGTAGGGGATCTTTGTGCTGGGGACACAGCAGGGCCTTAGAGGGGCATCCCTTGCCTTACTCTGTGCTCCCACCCCCTAGCCACTGCCCAGGACAGGAGGTCGCTCAGCCCATCCTGGTGCCAAGATGTGTGTCGGGGTGGTGGGGGTGGATCTGGCCCTTCGAGGCCCCCACAGTGGGCTTAGTTTCCTAACCGAAGCCGTAACATCCATAGAACTCTTAAACCAGGCAAGAAAGCAACACGGAATTCGCTTTGATGTTGAATAATTAATGAAATGTCTGAGGTATGGGCTTCTGGGCTGTGTCTCTCCCAGCCGCAGAGCTGTCAGCACCGTCTCGTCATTGGAGGGGCCTGCATTTCTGTCTTTAAATGTGCGCTTGGCACCTCTGAGAGGTAATTAGGACGTTCTGTGCACGATGAGGAGGCTGGGGTGCTCACCTCCAGGGGGCTGCAGGGCCAGTGCGACTGTTGTGGACCAGCCCCGGAGGGGGAGCTGCAGGGTCAGCTGGGCTGTGAGACCCCGGGCAAGAGTCCCCTGCCTCAGTTTCCCTATCTGAAAAGTGAAGAGGTTGGATCCAGGGGCCTCTGGGGGCCCGTCGAACTCAGACATTCCAAGGTGGTGGAGGAGCAGAATCAGGGACACATGGGGGACCTCGCTGTGTCCCCAGGTCGCCCTGGTGCTGGTAGGCAGGCTGCAGAGCCCCTGCCTGCTGAAGTTTGCTGAACGGGGCTGCAGCCGAGAATCTGTTTACTGCAGCAGGTCATCGGGAAGCGTTTCCTTGGAGACATATGTAGGACAGAACTCGGAAGCTGAAACCGAGGCACCCCACGAAGGCCCCACACCGCTGGCGGGAGGCGGTTTCTCAGGGCTCTGCTCCTGGAGGCTGCTGGGAGACAGCTGCAGCCCGGAGACTGGTCAGAGCCCGCGACCCGAGAACAGGGCTCCTAGCCCCTCCTCACAGCAGTGGCCACCCAGGGGGATATCACACTTGGACCTTTGGTGCAAGAATGTCCCCCGCCAGACCGCACTGAAGGTGCCCACTGCCCTCCTCTGGGAACCCTCCTCCCCATGGCCTGAGCCAAGGCACCAGCTGGCCAGGCCCTTGGAGAACTGCTGGTCCTCCCTGGTTCAACACAGGGAAACTGAAGCCGGAGAGGCAGTGAACTCCCATGGGGCACACAGAGTCGGGCAGAGTCAGGGTGTGAACTGGGGTCTCCTGAGCTGGCCGGAGCACTGCCCTTCCCGGCTCCTGTCTACAGTGGCATTTTCTGGAACACACTCAGGGCACCCCTTGCTGGCAGCCCCAGAGGACATGGTGCTGGGCTTCTGTGCGGTGGGATCGCTCGGCAGCTGGTTGCGGGTGTGACCAGGGCACTGGCCTCCCTGGCGGCACAGGGTGCTGCCCACTGTCCAAGAGAGGGCTCTGGGGCTCAGAAGCAGCTGGGCTGTGGGAAGTCCTGGGGGTGGAGTCTCTTTCCATGGGGTTCGAGTGTTGGCAGGGGGGCTTCACGAGCTTCTCCCCTCCCCACTCTGCCCTTACTCTGGTCTTCCCGATGTGCATCTCCATCTTTCCATCCTTGGCTTTCTCTGGGGCTGTTTGTGCTCAAACACAGGGTCACCTGCGGGCTCAGAATTGGCAATCCTGACGCAGGCTGGTGCATGGAGTGCTTATCTGGCCCCTGGGCATGCACACGAGTGCACAGAGGTCCTCAGGGGTGCCTGGGAGCCTGGAGCAACCCTGGCCTATAGTGGCCCCTGTCTTTGGGCTGGCCGTGTCTTCCTGAACCTGTGCCCTGGGGCAGGGGCCACCTAAATGGTTTTCTTTGGAGATGAGACGTGAAGGAACTTTTGCTGCAGGATGGCTGAGGAGGGGGGCCACCTCCTGCTCCCCCAAGCCAATGGAGAAAGCAGGAATGGAAGGTGCACTGCAGGGAAGCCGGGGCCTGGGCTCTGTCCGGACTCAGCTGCCTCCCACCCCTACCCCTGTGAGATGCTGGGTGGTGCCCTGCCTGCTTGGGGCCTCTGTCCAGCCTGCAGGGCAAGAAAGCCCCTCCAGCTGAAAGAGATGAGATGGAGACACTGCGGACTCTGGGGTGGGCAGCATGGAGGTCAGGGCAGCACCTGGTTCAGGTGGCCTCGGGCTCACGGCCAGCTCTCAGTCAACTCACACAGACTGAAGACGGGACCCTCAGGCTCGGCTCTGCAGGAGGCGTTAGGGGCTCAGCAGGCCCTGAGGCTGGGCTTGGTGTCACTGAAGCCCAAGAGGGCAGGGGAAGTGGCTGCCTTTGTGTGCAGAGCCAGGGCCCGGGGAGCAGGTGTGCAGTGTTTCCATTGCACATCAAGGAAACTGAGGCACAGGGGAAGGGGGATCAGCTCTGCCCACCTACAGGCCTAGCTGAGAACCTAGGGCTGTGGGCCAAGGTCTAGGCTCGCCCTGTCTCAGGGTGTGGTCTCCTCCGGCCTCTGTCCTGGCAATGCCTGTGAACCCAAGGAGAGATCCAGCCAGGGCTCACAGCCAAATCCAGCCTTAGACTGTGGGGACAGGGGCAGCCTCTCAGACCCGGAAGGCAAGAACCAGTCCCAGAAAGCGGGGCTGAGGAGACACAGCTCTGGGCCTACAGGGTGGGGACCCTCTGCCCTCTGCCCTCCACCCTCCGGCCAAGGCAGAAGCTGGGTCTGGTCCTCCCAGCTGTGCCGGCCCATGGGCAGGGGCTCTGGCGGGCTCACAGCTGGCTCTGCGTCCCTGGATGTGCTTGTTCCTTCCAGTCGCCTTCTTCAAACGAGGAGAAAATTAAACTCCCTGGGGCCTGGCTCCCCTGCCACCATGGTGCCTCCTCACCTGCTGCCCGCCGCCTGCCGCCCGCCACCTGCCACCCGCCGGGCCAAATGCTCTCAAAGACAGAATTCTGCTTAAATGCCCAGAAAAGAGATTTAGGAGATCAGAATCTTAAGCAAATTAACATGTGCAGCGGGCGGCTTTTAATCACCGCCTTTAATCGCAGGCCGCGGTGACGGAAATCATCTCCTGGCTGAGTGGCGGGCGGGGCTGGCCCTGAGGATGGATTATTCCTTAGAACCTGAACCTGGGTTTCACCGGCCTCTGGAAGGGGGCTCAGGGGCCTCTGTCCACTCCAAGGAGGCGTGGCTGGGTCGGGACCTGCAGCCCGCACACCCCTCTCCCTCCTTCCCACCCTTGGGCGTGTCTGTGGCTTTCGCCTTCTGTCTCCTCTCCCCACCTCAGTTTCTCCCTTCTGAGACTTGGGGCTGCTGGCCCTTTCCTGAGTGGACTGTCCCAGGGGACATGCAGAGCCCAGGTGTGGGGGATGCTGGGACGCCTGTTGCTCCTGGGCCACTGGTTGCCTCTGGCACACGTGCACTGCAGTGTCATTGCCTGGACAGCCCCCATTGTGGCCTGGCCTCCCCTCAGCCCTGCCACTCAGCTCAGCACCGGGACCCACTGAGACCTGGGGCCCAGAGGGAGGGGGCCGCCCCTCCCTTCTCGCAGCTGTGCCCAGCCAGGCGGACACAGGCCCTGGGACCCTGGCTGTGCCGAATGGGTCGTGAGAGAGACTGTTCATTCACGAGGGCAGGTCCCAAGAGCCCAGGGCAGGGGCTGGTCCAGCCGAGGGTCCTAGGCCACCTGAGTGGTGGTAAAGGCAGGAGGCAGCTCCTTTGAGGGTGCCAGGCAGCTGCGCCCAGGGGCCTTCCTTGGCAGGACCCAGGTGGTGACTGCAGCTGCTGGTGGCTCCCCTCCCCCTCCACACCTGGGGCCCCGCATGGCAGGAGGTGGTCACACCTTGAGGTGGCAGCGGCTCAGAGAGCCCAGAGGCGGCCCCACATCCTCCTGCCCGGGCCTGCGTGCCTGCCTGCCCTGCCCACATCCGGGGCTCAGTGTCCACACAAGCCTCCCAGGCCGCACTCTGGGATGGGGGCTCAAGGCCCCTTGGGGCAGAGGTGGTACCTTTCAGAACACCCCCCATGGGTGGACGTCTCTTTTGTCTGGAAAATGTTACGTCCCTCAGATGCTGGGAGCAGCGCGTGCAGGGGGAGGCAGAATGCTGGCTCGGAGAGGGAGAGGACCCCAGCGCGGGCAGCTCAGCACTGGACAGACAGGGCAGGGAGGCGAGGGGCTGGGAGAGCACAGGAAGGGGTGTAGCAGCACGCAGGGCTGCAGCCGTCACCGTCACCATCACCAGGAGCTACTGCTGGAACTCGGCCTCCCCCAACGCTGGACGCCCCCCAGGGCAGCCAGTGAAATGTCACCTCAATGACCCTTGGCAGTGCTCAGCCCTTCCCAGAGGCCCTCCTGGGGTGAGTGGCTCTTCTTGGCTGCAGCCTGCGGGGCCTGGGGTGTAATGACCAGAGGGTCCCTGTGGTGGAGGGGCAGCCAGCCAGGGAGCATTTGGCTCTGGTCCTGGGGGTGCAGCCACCCCTCAGTAGGAGGAGCCCTGCCGGGAGGGAGGGAGGGAGGGAGGACAGGATGAACGGTGGGTGGTCGCTCAAGCTGCTATGGGAAGAGCCAGCAGCCAACCCGCCTCCCCTTCTGGCCTCTCAGCGGAGCCAGCTCAGCTCCCGCCAGAGACCCCAGCCCAGGTGTCCTCCCTTCCCACTCCAGCAGAGGCTGCTGGGCCCGGGCTGGGCAGCCAAGGGTTAAGTGGGCGGGGCTCCCACGGGAGGGGCGGTCCCAGCGGCGGCCCCGTCCCGCCTTCCCCTCGCCTTCCTCACCTTCCTCACGGGCGGGCGCGGCAGGGCAGCGTGTGGGGCTGCGATCGGCATGGGCTCTGCGCGCGGGGTGCCCCTGCTCGGGCTGGGGCTCAGGGGACGCCGGGGGCCAGCACAGGGCCCGGTGTCCCTCGGGCCGTGCCGGTAACTGGGATTGGCACCCGCCGGCCATGGAAGAGCCTGGGCCCCCAGGTGGGCTCAGCCAAGACCAAGGTAAGGGGGCAGGTGGGATCCCAGAAGGGGGTTGTGATGGTCCCCGTAGGGAGCCCAGGACCGGACCTGTTCACTGGTGACCCGCCCAGGACCGGACCTGTTCACTGGTGACCCACTGACCCCCCGTGGGCAGTGCAGAGCTCCTCCCAGCAGGGTCTCCGGGAGCACGGCCCAATGACCCCATTACCTGCACATCCCTCAGACTCGGTCCCAGAGGAGGGATGCTGCCCCCACCCCTTGGCGCCCCCACCCTGCCTCATCTGCCCCTGTGCTGACACGTGAAAGCGAGAGGGTCTGCTCCCTGCAAAGGGTCCAACACAGTCCAGGTGGGCGGTGGGGGAGGCGCCCTCAGCCATGCCAGCACGGGTCCTGACCTCCAGCTTGATCCCAGCGGATGCACACTGCTCGGGTGGGGGGCAGGTCTGGGGGTGCCAGGGGCTGGTAGGCTCTGGCTTTTGGCTCTGGGGGCTCTCCTGGCCCAACCCCACCCCAGCCCCTGATCGAGGTTGGCAAAGGTGGCCCTGAGCTGCAGTCAGCACCATGGACAGGGGCAGCTGCTGCTTTCTCTGGGGGGCCTGCAGTTGCTGTGCGTCCTCAGGGTTCCCTGGAGTTACACTCTGGTCTGGCCCATCCCGCTCCGCTCCGGGTTGGAGATTTCTTGCTGTGATCTGTCACGCTTTCCTGACCTGGGAGCCGGACATTGCCCTGCGCAGACAGAGCGGAGCAGCAGGGGTGGCGGAAGCCCCGGGGCTGTTCACAGCAGGAGCTTCCGAGGGGCATCCTGGGCAGGCCCCTTCAGCACTGGCTGGGGCAGGGTCTACAGCTCCCCAAACACAGCGCTAGCTCTGGGCCAGAGGGGCAGGGTCTCCAGCTCCCCAAACACAGCGCTAGCTCTGGGCCAGGGGCGGGGAGAGGAAAACGTGAAGGGGGACAGTGGCCACGGCTGCAGAAGAAGTGGCTCAGGCCAGACACCAGGAGGAACTCCTGGGTTTCCAGGGACAGTAGGAGCTTGCCTCCTGGTGGTTTGGAACCTGCTTGTTCTGCCCTGTGATTGGCATGGACACGTGGGGTGGGACATGGCATCGCTGCTGGGCAGACTGGGGACGGGTTGCTGGTTTTTGCCTCTGATAAACCGTGTGACCTCACACAAGGGACTGAGCCTCTCTGAGCCTCCATGGGCAAGAGGGATAGCATGGGGCGCTTTCACAGGGTGGCTGTGGGCATTCAGAGCAAGCCTGTCTGCAGTGGTCATGCCGTGCCTGGCCTGTGCAGCTGCTCCAGGGTGCCTGTCCCCTCCTCTGTCCCACCCCCAGTGGAGGTGCCCTCTCTGAATGGAGAATAGTGTGGCAGATGTAACCAGGGCTGCTGGGCAGACACTGTTTGTAGGATGGGCTGTATATTCAGGTCACTCCAGGTGCACCCACTCGCTGACCGCAGCCCCCATCCCAGGGCTCTCCTGGGCACGTTGTCCCTGGTTCCTGCCTGTCTGGCCTGCAGAGAGCTCCCTGGAGTCACTGCCCTGTGCTGGCCACTGGGCTCAGGATGCCTGCCTGCTGTGGACAGGGGCTGGCTGCTGCCGGGTGGCCCCAAAGCCCCAGGTTCCAGGAGACCCAGCACACTTGGGGTCTGCAGCTGGCCAGGGAAGGGCCTAGTCTTAGGAGGGGGCAGTGGTGGGAGTGGCTCTGAGCCCACCCTCCGTGCCTGCGTCCTCTGGGCAGAGGGAGGGGAGCCAGCAGAACAGTCCTTACAGACTCCACGTGCCGCCGAGGACGGAGCAGATGGGCCAGTGTCCTGGGTCCAGCCCTCCATCTGCACAGCTAATGAGCTGATGACGATGGCGTCCCAGTTCCTGGCACCTTCTCCTGGAGAAGCCATGGGCTGGCCCTGCCCGGGCAGTGCCCTTTGCTGGGGCAGGTGTGTGTGGGGTGCCTGGGGCCCTCTCAGGGACCCAGGCCCAGTGGCTCCACCTTCATTGAGGGTGGGCAGGGGGAGGGGTTGGGGAAGGGGATGAGTAATCCAACGTGCCTGTTTCTTCCCGGGATTTTGCTCCCAGCACTGCATACGTGGGCTCCCACCGGCTGGACGGACTTCCTGTGTGGGAAAGGCGAGTGGGCGCGGGCCTCCCGTGTGGGGGCAGGGTGGAGTTGGTGGACACCATCCCCAGGACAGGACGTTTCCTCTGGCTCCTGAGAAGTCACTCACCGTGGTGGCCGCAGGCATGGCTCCATGCTAGCTGGGTGAAGACCCCGAGAGGGGGCCTTGTGGCTGACGGTCACTGGAGACAACAGTGAGCCACTCTGGTGGGACTGTGGAACCCCCTCCAGCTCTGCCCCAGAGAGCAGCACCTGGGTGAGGGCTACAGGAGGCTCTTTCAGCAGGCAGGTCCCAGGCACCATGATGCAGCCCTGACTTGGGGACGGTGGCCACACTGTCCTGGGAGTAGGTCCCTTCCACCGCTCAGACCTGGCGACCCAGGAACACACCTCTGAGGGACTTGAGTGGTCTTGATTTCACATTGATCAGGCCCCTGGCTGCTCCGACTTTCAGGTCCCTGTTGTGGAGGTTTCGGGCGGCCCAGTTCTCAGGGGCAGCCCTGTGCCCTTCCTGGGTCAGCTGGTGTGTGGGTGGGGGCCGACCCAGGGAGCACCTCACTGGCTCCCAAAAGGCAGGAGTGGGAGACAGGGCAGCCAGCCCAGCCCCAGGGCCAGCTTGAGCAGGGAGGTCCAGACAGGGACGGAACGACTATACAAGATCCCAGAAACTTCAGGCAGGGAAGCTCAGAGGGCCAGCTCCATCTCCAGGACACCCTCTCTGTCTGAGACTCTCTGGCAGAGCATTCGTGGGGCTGCTCCCCGGCCTGGCAGTGGCCCGGGGTGCTCTGGCCGGGAAGAGCAGCCCCGTGCCGGGACGGATGTGGCGGGCTCAGCCTCCTGTTTCCTCGCCTCCTCCGTGGCTCCATGCCTGCTCTGCCTGGCAGCGGCCCAGCTGCCACCCTCCCTCCCGCGCCTGGCTATGGGCTGGGGGCAGGGCTGGCTCTGACCACTTGGCCCGAGGACCCTCCCCTTGGAGCTGCAGCCCCCTCCCCTCACTCGGCAGGAGCTCCCTCTCTCCCAGCTGGCAGGCCAGGCTCCATCTGGTGACTTTTCAGGAAAGGCTCCCCCACCGTGGCTGCCACGAGCCTGGCTCCCTCTGCAGCTCCTCTGGGGTGTCCTGGACGGTGGCTGGGGGCAAGGCCGTGCACCTGCCTTCAGAGAGCCCCAGGCCAGGTGGGTGCGATGCCCCTGCTGGCCATGCCCTGCTCAGTGAGGGCAGAGAGGCAGCCAGGGCCTCAGAGAAACCAGTGACTTGTGGCAGGGACAGGAGCCTCCAGGGACACACAATGGGGGGGGCACTCGCGGTGGGGGGAGGAAGCTGTGAAATGGGCTATTAATAGGGTCCCCTTCCTGATGGGGCTGTCAAGTGCGATTAATACCGCTGCTGTGAGCTGGGCTGCCACCAGCTGGGGATGGCTGGGGACGGCGAGGGGGCAGGAAGGGGAGCCCACTCTGGGAGGGACCCTTACTGAGATGGGGACCTGGCCCTGGCTGTCCCGAAGAGGCCAGAGAAAGGCCAGATGTTGGGGCCCCCTTGGCCATAGCGGGCCAGCTGGAGAGTGTGGAGGCCTGGGCTGGGCAGGCGCCCACCTGCACAAGAAGGGCTGCACTGGGGGAAGGTACGGGTCACCTGGCCTCAGAGGCCATCCTGTCCACTTGCCACTGCCGGCTGCTTGGAGGGTCCAGTGGCCTCAAGTTCCTGCACCTTTCTGTGCAACTGGGACTGCTTTGGACACCTGTGACCATCACAAGTCCTCCTGTCCATCCCTCCACACCGGGTGGCCGGATGACAGAAGAAAGGTGTCTGCTGGCCCTCCCTCTGGGCCCTGTGGGAGCTGGATCCTTCTAGCAGCAGCTGGGCCACCAGGGGAGCATGAGCCTGGCTGCTGTCCTCCCCCTGCTCTGGGGCCGGTGGAAGGTGGAGGGCAGGTCAGGTGGCGCGGCCGATGGAGTATGGCTGGCCATCGAGAACCTGTCCCCACGCTCTAGGACACTGGCCGTTCCAGCTCCCCCAGGGCTCTGTGCACACGGACCAGGAGCCACCCAAGGGGGCAGAACAAAGTCAGGCCCCAGGGCCCCCTCCGGCCTGCTCCCCTGCCGAGCTGGGTACTGCCATGGGGTCAGGCCCTTCCCTCCACAACGCCCCCACCTCCTGCTGAGAGCTGGAGTGGCTGCCACACGGAGGGCGCTGCCAGAGGAGAGGGCAGAGCGTCTGTCCCTGCGGTGCCCTCCAGGTGTGCCTAGGGTGGCCCCAGCCCCACAGGCCCCGGGCACTTGCCCTTGGTTCCCCTGCCCTTGCTGGGACCCCTCAGGCCCAGCCTGACTCTGGGATCCCTGGGCTCCTAGCACGACCACTCTGGGGTCCTGCCTGTGGGGAGGGCTCGAGGCACCGACTCACACTCCTGATAAAATAAAAATAGTTGGGGAGGAGGCTCCCAGACGTGCGGGGGGACAAGTGGCTTCTCTCAGACGTTTAAATAATCTCCGCCATATGTGTGTGGGCCCGGCCCTCCCTCCCGTGCGGCGCCAGTCCAGGGGCCCGGCTGATCTCCAGTGAGCACTGTGGCTGGGGCAAGGTGGCCACTTCCTCCTCCCTCCCGTCCACCCAAGCACAGCCTCAGCCCCTCCTGCATGCTGGGCCGGCCCTTGGGGGCAGCACGGGAGGGGGATGCTGGGGCTGCGAGGGGCAGGGGGGCGCGGAAGAGCCAGGGCCAGGAAGGGCTGCAGGAGCATCTGGCCCTCATGCCTCACTGCTGCTGAGGTCCTTTGCTCTCCTAGCCCTGGGATGCGGCTGCCTCAGGGACTCTTGGTGGCCCTGGAGGGTGGGTAGGCTGGCCTGGGGGCCATTGGGACAGCAGGTGACGGTCAGGCCAATGCCAGCCGGGCCCAGGCACAGCCCTGTGGGGGCTTCAGAGGGAGACACGGGTGGGCCCAGGGAGGTCCTTTGAAATGTCCTGCTGAAAGGCAGCAAGCGTCGGGAGAGGAGGGGGCTTAGAGGCAGCCAGGGCCACCTCTGGACAGGCCTGGAAGAGGTGGGGCCCCTGCCCGTCCCGTACACGCTCGTGAAGGGAAGAGGTTGGTGGAGGGGCATGTGCAGTCCCCATGCCCCTGTCGTGGGAGGGGCTGCGGTACCCAAAGCTGCCCCGGGTGTGTGTGTACATGCCGGGAGGCCTGTGGGTGTGATTTGTGGGTTTTGTTGGAAGATTCATTATTTTCCAGCCTTCCCCAGGGGAGAGGCGGAGATGCTGAGCCACCGCTGGCCCCTTGTTGATGACAGCCGCGAGGCCCATGCTGCCTGCTGTGTTAGGACAAGATCGATCTCCGCCATAAAAACAAAATTAAGCCAACACCGCCCTGGCTTCTGACAGCGCGCGCTCTTCCTCTAATCAGCTGCCACCCGCCCGGTTCCAGCCTTGGGAAGAAAGGAAGGGGCTGCAGGAGCAAACCTCTCACAGTGGGGAAACTGAGGCACTGAGACAGGGAGGACAACCCAAGGTCGGGGGGCAGGCCCAGGACCCCTGCTTCCCAGCAGCCACCAGGGCCAGGCAGTCAGGGTGGGCCGGTGCAGCCCAGGTGCGGGGGCTGAGCCCAGGGGATCACGGGCGCATTCCTCTGCGTGTCACCGTGGGGCCCGCAGAGCCCTCCCATGCACTCTCCCCAACTGGGGTGCAGCCCCGTCTGCCCGTCTGTCCACCCATCCGCCCATCTGGGTGCATCTGTGTGGGAGGCTTCTCCAGGCCCAGGGCTGAAGCCGGCCAGACCCTTGAGAGCTGGACCCTGGACACCAGTGTGGACACTGGCTCCCGTCACCTCCTCAGAGCAGGCCTGGTGGCCTTAGCTGCCTCTGTCCTGCCCGTCCCTCCCTGTCCACCTGTGTCCAGCCAGCGCCTGCTACGTGTTGGATCATGGCCTCACAGGGACAGAGCAGGGAGGAGGACTTCGAGGTCCCTGCCCCAGGGATGTCCCGGGGTCAGGCAGTGCTCTGAGGACTGGGGAGCCCCACTGTGCTGTGCAGGGACCTGGGGGAGCAGCAGGTGAGCCAGGGCCCTCCTCTCCCCGACGGAGCCTATATCTGCCCGACCAGGACTGCCGGCCCTTCCCAGTCTGGCCTCTGGTGTGGGCCCACAGCCAGGTGCATTGCTACAATCCCACCTGAGCTCCCACATCAGGTGTCCTGGCTCAGGCTCACGGGAGGGGCCGAGGCGGCCTGGGGGTGGGTGTGGACCATGGCTGAGGGCTGGGCCCCTGTGTGGAACCACAGAGCAGAGCGTGGCTTCTTCGGCCTCCCTGTGGGCTTTCAGGATGGCCGGGCCCTGGCTCAGGGCAGGCAGGGTGAGCATGAGGGCCCGTCAGTGCAGGCTGTGGGGCTGGGCTCGCCTGCCGGCATGGGGGTGGGGCAGCCCCCTCCGTGACCTTGTGTGGGGGCTGGGCTGGGCCCTGGGCCGGCTCACAGGCAGCACGTGGGGAGGGGTTCTTAAGTCTCTGGGCCTGGGCCCCTGCCACGTCTCTTGGCCCGGGGCACCCCCGGCTTCACGCTGCAGCTGCGGTTCTGTGTCTGCCTGAGTTTTGGAGGGGAGTGGGCGGTCCCTTTGGACCTCAGGGCAGGCAGGGCAGCCCCCGGCAGAGGCCTGTGTCAGGAAGGGATTAGCCAGGCCTCCACCCGCCTGGACAGTTGAGGATTCCAGCTCTGCTGCTGAGGAGGTCAGGGGGCCTGGGGTGCAGGAGCCTGGGACCCACGTTGTGGGGCTGGGGCCAGGCACTCTATGTGTGGCTCCTCTCAGAACCCCTGCCCAGGCAGATGGCGGCCTCCAAGCCCTAACCCCAGCTGATGGGGGATCAGCTAGTGGCTGAGAGCTCAAGGGAGGGAGGGAGGGAGCAGAGGCCCAGCCTTGGGGAGCTTCAAGGAGGGATGGGTGAGAGACGGGAGCACCCCCAGCTGGGGCCAGGCCCAGGGTGAGGGAACAGCAGGTGTGTCCCAGGCCAGGAGGCCTCTGAGGTGCAGGAAGGAGAACTGGACCCCCTGGGTCAGAGTGGAAGCCCGCAGCAGCCCAGTATGAGGTGGGCAGGGGCCCTGGGCCAGGGCTATGGCCGTCTGGTCTGTCTCCAGGCCCTCAGGCCACCTCCTGGCCCCTGCGCTGCCCCTTACACGGTGGCCTTCCCCGAGGCCCTGTCTTCCTGAGGACGCCCGGGACTCCAGCCCCTCTCCTCTCCCTGCAGCTCATGGCTCCCTAATCTAATTCCACGGCAGAGCCCAGAAACGCCTGCTGACCTGCTTCCGCCGAGAGCAGCAGAGCCTGTGACGGGGCCCCTGGTGGGGGCCTGGGTTGGCTCTGTGCTGACTGCATCTGATCTGGCTGGGTGTGGCCCTGGTTGTCAGTGGTCAGCTGGAGACGCATGGCCATCTCCTCAGGGACTGCCACCTCCCACGCCTGACCTTGGCCCCGGGGCTCTGCCAGGATGCCCAGCCCTGGCACCTCCCTGTCCTGGGCTCTGCAGGCCAAACTCCTCCCCTGGTATGGGGGGAGGCGAGCAGCTGCCCGGAACCTTCCAGTCCTTGTTGCTGGAGCCAGTAGAGCCTGGGCAGTGGGTGGGAAGAAGGGCGGGGTTCTCCCCAGTGTGGTCACGAAGCATGGGCATGGCCAGGACACAGGTGGCTGGTGTTCAGCCGGGGTCTGCCCACCTCCCATTCCCACAGCTGCCCCTGGTGTCCCGGCCTGGACTTGGGGATGGGAGAGCCTGTGCTGTCCTGTAGTGCGGGGCCAGTACACAGGGTGGGCTGTGTGGTCCTGGTGGCAGTGGGACCTGGAGTCCTTTCCTCAGTGGGAGCTGAGACGGTGGGGTGGGTCCTCCTTGGGCGAGGCCCCTGTCCAGGTCAGATGGCTGTCATCCCTGCAGGGCAGAATGTGGGGACAAACGTGCCCTGGGCATGGGGCCACCTCCTCCGCCACAGCTCGGTGACCGTGGAGAAAGGTCAGGCTGGGGCTGCAGCTGCATGAGGGAGACATGGAGAGCCCAACCCAGGCTCAGGGACCCACATCCTGGGCCTGGGCTGGGAGTTGTCGCTGTAAGGGATCCGGCTCGGCTCCCCTCTCCAGCCACAGGGGCTGGGCGCTGCGGGGATGAGGTGAGCTTCTGCCCCTGCTCTGGGCCACCTGCCTCTGGACTTTGGGGATCCACTCAGAGGTCCTCATAAGTAGGGATGCGGGGTGAGGGCAGGGACCACTCCAGGCCCAGCCTCGGCATCTGTGGTGGGCGCACAGCGGGGAGGCCCACCCCACACAGGGTCCTCGGAGGACAGTACCCTGCAGGCCTTCCGGTTGCGTTCTCTGGGTCCCAGGAGGGCCCTCCCGTTGGTCCTGCTCTTGTCCCGCAGCCCTGACCTGGGTCTGGTGGCCTGGGGCCTTGGGAAACTCTGTTGCCTCCCCAGTGCCCTCCCATCCCCAGCTGGGAGTTCCCTCGGCCTAAATCCTCCACCAGCTGGGCTGGAGCTGGGATTAGCACAGGGATTGGGCCTGGGGCTGGGCGGGGCTGAGGTCCTTTGCTCCCCCAGCCTTGGGAGGCGGCTGCGTCAGGGATTCCTTGGTGGCCCTGGAGGGTGGATAGGCTGGCCTGGGGGCCATCAGGACAGCAGGTGACGGTCAGGCCAATGCCAGCCGGGCCTGGGCACAGCCCTGTGGGGGCTTCGGAGGGCCCTGAGGAGGAGGAGGAAGAGGCAGAGGAGAGAAGGCCCCACGGAGGTCCTGTCGCCAGCGCTGCCACTGCCTGACCTCCGCTGCCCGAAGGCCGGTGGGCCTCTGTGGCCTCCGTGAAGCAGGCCCGGCTGTCGTCAGGCCATGTCTGGTCCATGGCCCTCCCCCGACAGCCGGACCAAGGGAACGGTGGCCTGGCTGGCGGAGGTACTCCTCTGGGTTGGAGGGAGTGTGGTGCTGTCTTCAGAGTGGCAGCTCGGCCCCCTGGGTAAGAAGGGGCAGGCGAGTGGCCTGGGCTGAGTGCTGGCCCTGGCCAGGTGACTGGTGGGTGGGGGCTGTTCCTGGAGGTGGGGGAAGCCTGGGCCTCCATCCCATCCTGCACTCGCCTCCCCTGTCCCCCGGGTGCTCTAGGGATCATGTGGGTCCAGCAGCGTCGGCTGGCCCTGCCCCTCAGCCGCTCAGAGGCGTGCTCAGCACACCTCGGTCTCCCAGGCACCTGCAGGGCCTGGGGGCTGAACCCAAGGGGGCGAGGGGGGATCTCAGGTGGCTCCAATGCTCTCATTGAAGGGGTGCCTTGTGCTCTGGGGGTCAGTGGTGCTTGCAGCCCAGGCGGCTGGGCTGGCATCCTGGTGCCGGACATGAGGGCCTTTGCCGTTAGGAGACTCTGCAGAGGAGACTGGCTGGGTATGGCTGGGAGGGTGGAGTGTGTGTCTTGTGGTGGCCTGTGGAGGGCCCCGGTCCGGGCTGGCCTGCCAGCTCTCTGTTCCAGCGGCAGACAGGGTCCTGTCCAGGCTGCCCTGTTGCAGGCCTCTGCCCGCCCCCTGCCCCTGTGTCCTGCCTCACCCCTCTCCTAAATCCCTGCAGCCATACCTGCGTCTTCACCTCCCATGTGCCCCGGAGAGCCCAGCCCCCCATGCCATGGCTTCCATCCCTTCAATTCCCCTCTGCTCGTGATCACGTAGTAGCTTCCCCAAGAAGGCCCGGCCAGTACTGCCCTTGGTCCTCTACAACGCCCCCGCCAGGGTCCCTCAGCGTGCAGACCTGGGGTGGGGATTAACGTCTCTGTGCTTTAGCAGATGGTACCTCTGGGACCCGGGCTTTCTGTGAGCAGGTGTGCAGGAACCGAGGGGGTGAGACCAGTCTGTTCCTGGGCTGGGACAGCTGACTCTGGCCTGGACTCCCTGGACCCTGCAGCCCCCTCTCCTGGGACAAGCTACAGCAGGAGGCTGAATGGAGAGAGGAGGGGAGAGAAGGAGCGAGGCAGGCAGCCTGGGGGAGGGGAGGGGAGGGGTTGTGAAGCTCGGATCCGGCACCACAGCCTCCCAAGTCCATACTGCAGTGCAGGGCGTGCGACGCAGACATTCATGGCACCATTCGTGGCGCTTGTTGCACATGAGGGGTGGGGGCTTTCCTGGAGATGCCCCAGGCAGGGGCACAGGCACTCAGGAATTCGACCGCTCCCAGGAGCCACCTGTGGCCAGGGGCGGGGGCAGGGGCATGGGGTTGCTGCCTGCTAGGCCCACCCCGCCCCTGACAAGGGGCCTCCACTGCACTATGGCCCCAGACAGCCAGCCCAGCCACCTCATCTGTCTTGCCTCGTGCCCGGCCTTCCCATTGTTGAGTTCTGTGCTGGCTCCGTCTGAGTGGTAGCTCTCGGGGCCCCAGGCCCAGCGCCGGTTACCAGGGCTGCTAGGACTGGTCCAGGAGGTGGTGGGAGTGGCAGGTGGCCGAGCAGGGTGGGGAGCAGGGCCCTCAGTTCCCAGGACCATCTGGGGAGGAGTGGCAGGGCCCAGCTGAGCTGTGTGACCCAGGCAAGCCGGCACCTGGGGTGGAGGTGGCCCTGGGCTCTGGCCTTTGCCCTGTCACTGGCAGGGCGGTGTGGGCGGGGCCGGGCGAGGTGAGGAGTGGCCGTGCCTCCGCTGACGGCCGTGTTTCTCCCGTGAGGAGTGGCCGTGCCTCCGCTGACGGCCGTGTCTCTCCTGCGAGGAGTGGCTGTGCCTCCGCTGACAGCCGTGTCTCTCCCGTGTCCAGTGGAGCGGTGCATGGGTGCCATGCAAGAGGGGATGCAGATGGTGAAGCTGCGTGGCGGCTCCAAGGGCCTGGTCCGCTTCTACTACCTGGACGAGCACCGCTCCTGCATCCGCTGGAGGCCCTCACGCAAGAACGAGAAGGCCAAGAGTGAGTGGGAGCCCTGGGGTGGGGACAAATCAGAGTCCCTGGGGGGACACGACGGTAGGGACCCTCCCAGGGCAGCCACTGATGGCTGAGGAGCAGCGAGACCCTAGGCCTGGACACCTCTGGGCTCAGTGGCCTTGGGGATCTGCAGTGACCTCGGGCTGTGGGGTAGGAGGGATCCAGGCCCCCTGCCCGCCTGGCAGAGCTCCCTGGGACTCAGTGAGGACCGAGTAGCACTGTGCCCAGCCCTGTGCTGAGTGCTGGGCTGGAAGGAGGGGCACAGCATAGTCCATCTAGCTGGGGAGGTCACAGCTCCCCATAAACAGAAACGACCCCCACAGAGGTATGCTGATGGATGGGTATGGGTGCAAACAGTGGCTCAGGCAGCCACTGGGCATGGCTGCTGGAGGGAGCAGGGGCCACCCGAGATGGAGGCTCTGTGCAGGGGGTGGGTGGGGAGAGTTGAGGCACACAGGGAACGGGTAGGGTCCCACGGTTTGGGGAGAGACATGGCAGTCCTCAAGGGCTGGGATCAGGGCGCAGCCAGGGTTTCTGATGGCTTTGCTGATGGTCAGGACCCAGGCATGCCAGGCAAGGCCTCAGCCCAGCAGTTGCCAAGCGTGTAGCCACTTTGGGCCCGTGGAGAGAGTCGCGCTGCGGAGCCCCCAGGGGGACCTGAGGTCACAAGAGCCTCGATGCACCTGAGCGCGGAGCTGGGGGTCCCTGGAGCCGCTGTCCCCACCTGCGGCGCTGGAGCCCTGGAGGTGTCCAGGGGCTTCCTTGGAACGTGGAGACGTGCTGGTTAAACGTGGAGCCCCGGGCCAGCCGGGCACTGGGGGCTGCAGGTGGAGGGAGGTGGATGCTCTCCCTCGTGGGGGCGTGTCTTTTCCACAGGAAAGGGAAAGGGGGAGGGACACGGGTCAGCAGTGGGGGGCTGTGCAGTCTCGCAGATCTTCACCCTTGGTTCTTGAACTCTGGACCCTGAGCCCTGCCGAGGGTCCCGCAAAGGTGGGCAAGGAGCTCCCGGCTGCTTGGTCTCCGCAGTGTTGGGGCTGCCAGCAGGGGGACGCTGGGCCCCCGGGGACCTGACCCGTGCTCCCTCCCCACCCCGCAGTCTCCATCGACTCCATCCAGGAGGTGAGTGAGGGGCGGCAGTCGGAGGTCTTCCAGCGCTACCCTGACGGCAGCTTCGACCCCAACTGCTGCTTCAGCATCTACCACGGCAGCCACCGCGAGTCGCTGGACCTGGTCTCCACCAGCAGCGAGGTGGCGCGCACCTGGGTCACTGGCCTGCGCTACCTCATGGCCGGCATCAGCGACGAGGACAGCCTGGCTCGCCGCCAGCGCACCAGGGACCAATATCCTTGGGCACCTATCGGGCAATGCAGACCCAGGGACCGGCCCCTTGGCTGCTCACCCTGGGGGGGCCTGTCCTTTGCCGGGTCACACACTGGGGAAGTGGCCGGTAGGCTGGGGTCCCCTATTCCTTCCTCCCTAGGCCAGAGGGTGGAGGTGTCAGGGCTGGGCCCATGGATCGCTGTTGGCCCCTAACTCGGCACCAAAGTGGCTGAAGCAGACGTTTGACGAGGCCGACAAGAACGGGGATGGCAGCCTGAGCATTGGCGAGGTCCTGCAGCTGCTGCACAAGCTCAACGTGAACCTGCCCCGGCAGAGGGTGAAGCAGATGTTCAGGGTGAGCTGGGGGGAGCCCTACCTGGGCTCCAGAGCCAGGGCTGCACGGGGGCTGTGCTTGTGTGGCTGGGAGCCTGCCAGCCCTGACTGAGCTGGAGGGGACCCTGGCAGTGCCCTCAAGCTGCACAGAGTAGCTGGCTGCTGAGGATGGGGCTGTCTGACCAGCCACCCCACAGCCTATGGCAGGCAGGCAGGTGGGTGCCCAGGTGCTGCCTCTTTGCAGCTGGGCCGGGGGCTGCTCTGCCAGCTCTGGGGAAAGTGGTCGGGGCACCTGGCACAGGCCCTGCCAGGTGAGTGGACTGGGCATTCAGGGCAGGTGCCCAAATGAAGCTGCACCCCCTTCCCAGGCCCCAGCCCCGCAGCCTCGAGGGGGGTACACCAGCCCTGGCAGGGCCCAGTCTGATGCGCAGCAGCTCGTTACTTTCCCCATGCCGCCCTCGCCCAACCACCCTGATGTTAGGAGTTATGAAAATGCAGCCTTCAGCTGAGCTGCGGCCTTTATTGTCTGTAATTGGTTTCTGTTTCCGGAAAGCCTGCTGGGCCGGGGGAGAGAAACTCTGCCCGTCAGCAGGTCCTGGTTCCGGGTGGTGCTGGCTGAGCCAGCAAACCAGGCCCTGGGGCCTTGCTGCTTTGCTGCAGCTTGGAAAGCGGGTTCTGTGGGTGCAAGTGCCAGGCCCTGGGGTCTCTGACACGCACATACACGCACACACACGCACACGCATGCACGTGCATAAATACACGCACACACGTGCACATACACATATGCACACAGGCACACACATGCACACACACACGCATACACATGCTCACAGCCTGACAGCTCCGCCGTGTCCAGCCCCTGCCAGCTCCTGCCAGCTCCTGCCAGCTGCTGCCTGTTCTCACTGTAGGTGGCTGGTCATGCCTGGCTGGAGCAAGGGAAGCTGGCCTGCTCACAGGACAGGGTGTGTGCGTGAGTTAGGGGCTGGGTGCTTGCAGACACTCTGGGGACTGCCCGGGGCTTGTGAAGGCCCCAGTGGGGACACAGTCTGCCTGGGCTGTGGGGGCTGGCAGGTGGCTGAGTCTGCATGTCTGCGCCCCTTCTCCCTGCCTGCCTGGGGCCATCCCCAGCCACATTTTGGGCTCAGGGGCAGCTCTGGGGCCAGCAGGTCCCTCCACAGAGTTGAGGCTGTGCCAGGGCCCGGGCAGCAGGGTGGCTTAGGGTGCAGGCTCCAGAGTGGCCTCTGAGTGGGAGGAGACAGATGCCCCTCACTGAATCCAGCACGAGTGTGCGTGGTTTCTGGGGCCTGAAGGTCCAACCAGACCTCCCTAAGGGAACCCCAGGCAGGCGGAAGCAGGGACAGTCTGCAGGGCTGGCTCTGGAGAGGAATGGCGAGGTAGCTGTTGCTGTCAGGTTACCGGCCTGGCACTCCAGCCCTATGTAGTGGAGGCCCAGTGGCCCTGGTCTTTGGTGGTCAAGACAGCTGGAGACGGCCCCAGTTTCAGAGCGCTGGGCCTCCCCGCCCATCTGTACTGCATCCTCTCTGGGCCCTGCAGAGCCGAGAGAAGGAGCCTGCAGCCAGGCTGGAGGGGCTCTGAGAAGTGGCATCAGCTTCGCTGTAGAGAAATCTGGAGATGGCTCCCATTGCCTGGCACGGCCTAATCAGAGAGAACTGCATGGTGGATAAACACTTGGCTTGAGGCTAATTTCATCAAACCTAAGATAAGGCTGGAAGTGGGCTGGACCCAGTGGGGCCTAATTGCCAGAGTGCGCTGGGCGGGCACCGAGGCAGGCTCAGCCAAAGTGCACGTTCAACAGCAGTGGCTTCCCTTTGTGGAAAGAAAAGATGCCACGTGACTGTGTCAGGGGTGTTCTAGGGTGGGGCTCAGGCCCCGAGGGCCTCACTGTCCGAGCATTTTTGTTCCTGCTCAGTGGTGAGTGGCTCACCCTGGCACATAGCCACTCTGTGGAGGGGGCCGCATCTCTGCCCAGCTCAGCCACAGGCCCTGGGAGGGCCTCTGGCCTGGGCTTTGTCCCATGGCCCCTGGGAGGGCCATCAGCCCAGGCTCTGTCCCATGGGGGCCCTTTGAGCTGCAGTGTGTCCCCTCATGGCTGTCCTGGGTGCAGTGAGTGGGCACCCCCAGACTTGGGGCTACCCTCACACCTCGCACCAGGCACCCCAGGGCTTCATCTGGTGTGTGCTGGGCCCAGTGCATGTGGCTTTAGCTGGGCCCTTCATGCCACGCTGGCCTCATCCCAGCCTTGGTGTGGGCACACAGCCTGTCCCTGGGGTCCTGACCCACCTTCATGCCAAGCCGTGGGTGTAGGGCGTGTGGCAGCCAGGGCTCTGCCCTGGGGACAGGGACAAAGGGGCTGATGGGGCCACCTGACTGGTGACTCCCCTGGCTCAGAGGGGATCCCAGGGGAGCTGGCACCACCACCCCTGGCCACCCCAGATCGTGGCCACGGGAGGAGGCAAGGCTGGTCCCCAGTGGCAGGCTGGTGGCTGCTGCTGTCCATGGTGCCGAGCCGGCCCTGGTTCCTGCTCAGCTGAGGCACATCTGCAGGCCGAGGCGGGGCCCTGGGTACTCTCCTGTGGACCAGGACATTAAGCTGTCCTGAGAGGCATGGCCAGCGTGCAGGTGGCCCTTTGTAGCCTGCTTCCTCGACCCCACTCTGGGCTCCTCGCAGGCCCCCTTGGAGCCCCTGGGTGGGCTGCTGAGAGCACGCCGTCCTCAGCCTGTGTGGGCTCTGGGAAGAGGACCCAGCGGGGCTTGTCTGGAAGCCCAAATCACGAAGCCTCTAGACTACTGCTGTGGTGGATGCAGCACCTCCTCGACTTTTGGAGGTATTTCCTGCTTCTCAGGGCACCCAGTCTGGGGCTTCCGTGGAGGCCTGAGGACTCAGCCAGTGTAGGCGGACACCTGCTGGCTGGGTGTCGGTGTGGCCAGGCCTGGGGTGAGCAGGCGCAGGGCGGAACCCTGCCTTCAAGGCATATCTGATCAGCCCGTCCCATCTCTGGCCACATCCTCAGTGGGGGGCCAGGGCCGAAGTGACAGCAGGCGGCTCACTGGGAGCGTAGGACCCCTCAAGATGCTGAGCAGCTGGGCAGGTGTGAAACGAGCTGTCAGGGCTGCCCCTGCCTGAAATGTTGAACTCTGGAACTCTTTGAAGAGCAGGGCTAGGCACTGCGTCCCTTTGGGCCTGGTGTTCCTCGTGAGTAGGGGCTGAGCTGGGGTGTCACACTGGGGCCATGTCACCTCCAAGCAGGTCATGCTCTCACCCTGCCCTGCCCAGCCCTGGGCTCCCATACCCTTGTGAGGCAAAGTCCTCAATCCTTAGGGCTCAAGGATTTCAAGCATCCCCTTCCATGGGGACTTTATTGCTGCCATGGGATTCCCATGGCCCCTGTAGCACCTTGGGTTTCTGCTGGGATGCCCAGCCTCCAGCCCAGAGTGTGTTGTTGACCCCCGTTTGGGGGGGCGCTGACCCCCGTTTGGGGGGGCGCTGACCCCCGTGTGGGGGTGGCGCTGACCCCCGTGTGGGGGTGGCGCTGACCCCCGTGTGGGGTGGCGCTGACCCCCGTGTGGGTGGCGCTGACTCCCGTGTGGGGGGGCGCTGACTCCCGTGTGGGGGGGCGCTGACTCCCGTGTGGGTGGCGCTGACTCCCGTGTGGGGGGGCGCTGACTCCCGTGTGGGGGGGCGCTGACTCCCGTGTGGGGGGGCGCTGACTCCCGTGTGGGTGGCGCTGACTCCCGTGTGGGTGGCGTTGGCTCCCGTGTGGGGGGTGTTGACTGCTGTGTGGGGGAGGTGTTGACTCCTGCGTGGGTGTTGTTGACTCCCGTATGGGTGATGTTGGCTTCCGTGTGGGTAGTGTTAACTGCTGTGTGGGGTGAGTATATGGAGGTGGCTGTGGGTTGAAGGTGAAAAGCATATGGCTTCAGGCAGGTGCGTCAGTTCTGCATTTTCATGGGGCTGTCCTCCTGGTGGGTGGGCCCGTGCCCTGGGGAGTGATTGGAGGCCGTGACAAGGGCAGTGGAGTAGAGGAGGGTGGGCTTGCATGTTGGTCTTGACTGGGGAGTGGGGTGGTCCTGAAGGACCCCTGTGCATGCAGGCCCTGGTCGAGGTGCCAATGGGGACCCAAGGCCTTGCATTGCAGGAAGCGGACACGGATGACCACCAAGGGACGCTGGGTTTTGAAGAGTTCTGTGCCTTCTACAAGATGATGTCCACCCGCCGGGACCTCTACCTGCTCATGCTGACCTACAGCAACCACAAGGACCACCTGGATGCCGCCAGCCTGCAGCGCTTCCTGCAGGTGGAGCAGAAGGTGTGCTGCCCGGGGCAGGTGTTGGGGGGCCAGCCATCAGGCCTCGCCTTCTGTTCTGAGCTTTGAGCTTCAGTCAGGGGACAGTGGTGATGGGGGAGCTGTCTGAAGCTATCCCAGGCCAGGGATGGGCTACCTGGGCTCATGCCCCTGCTCTGAGATGGAGAGATTAGGGTGGGGCAGGTCACAGCCTGGCATTTGAGAGCCCCCCAAGTTGGCTTTAGTTTTGATATTACAGGGTGCGCTCTATGGGGCAGCCAAGCAGGTAGGGAAAGTTTGTGGTTTCTCCTCCAGGGGCCCCTGAATGGCTTGGTCCTGACTGTGAACACCCTGCGCCTCCCACAGCTTGACCATGCCTCCTGCCTTGGTGTTGAGCATCTTGTGGACTAGGGTTCTGTGGCCCAGCCTTTGAGACCTGCCCCTGTGTTCCAGCCACATGGGTCTGGCTGACTCGCTCCCCTAGGGTGCCAGGCCCGCCACAATATCCACTCACCTGTTTGTCCAGCAGACACTCAGATGCCTCCTGGAATCCAGAGGGGCATGCTCAGCCCTTTATCTAGACCCCAAGAAATCCTGGCCATCCTTAGAGACCAATGCCAAGGCCAAGTGCTGCCCCACTGACCAAGGACCTCATTTCCAGAGGTTCAGGGCTCTGGCCATCTTGTATCAGGCCTGGGCAGGGACTGGGTACCGCATGCCCTGGTGGCAGGAGTTGCAGGTCCAGCCAGGCAGCGGAGGGGAAGGCCGGAGCCCCAGTGGGGACAGGGATCCATGGGAGGGGCTCAGACTGTGTGTGGCCACCCTCCAGCCTCGTAGGAGTGCAGGTGAGGACCCTGGACCCTCCTCAGGGAGGAGAGCAGGGACAGGGCAAGCCTTAGGGGACCAAGATGCCTCGGCCTGGGGGTGCTGCTTAGGGACCTCCACTCTACTTGCCTCAGCCTGGGGGTGCTGCTTAGGGACCTCCACTCTACTGGCCTCAGCCTGGGGGTGCTGCTTAGGGACCTCCACTCTACTGGCCTCAGCCTGGGGGTGCTGCTTAGGGACCTCCACTCTACTGGCCTCGGCCTGGGGGTGCTGCTTAGGGACCTCCACTCTACTGGCCACCTGCGCTGCGTCAGCCTCTCGGTGATGGTCTGAGGGCGAGGATGGGAGTGGCAGGAGGAGCCTTGGGAATCCCAGGTAGGGTCTGGGTGGGTTTTACCCAGGATCTCCCAGCAGTACCCCACCCCCAAGCTTACCACAAACCCAGAGCTGGCCTTTGGGGCTGTCCCTGGGCCTGAGCTCCCGGGATGCCCCCACCTGGCCGGGGCAGCTTGCCAGGCTCCATCCCGTGGCAGCCGCTTCTCCAGTCCTGCAGGCATGACACCCGGGACGCATGGCCCAGGCAGGGGAAGCTAGCACCAGTTGGCTAGACCCCACTGTCTCGGATGCCCTGTGCCCTGGCCACCAGGGGCGGCACCAGCATGTGTCTGTGGGTGACCTGGCTGCAGATAGTAGGTCCTCTGTCCCAGTAAAGGCAGAGGTGGGAATGGGGCCTGGATAGGGGATTGGCAGGCAGAAGTGACCCTTCCCTCCCTGACCTTTGCCCCAAGCCTTGTGGAACCCTCTGTGCACTCAGGAGCCAGAGTCCTCCAGCCGGCAACTGGTGCCCTTTGCCTGGCCTCCTGGTTGCTGGGCCTCCCCAGGGGCCCACAACTGGCTCTGGGCTCCCCCACCTGTTACCTCACCATGTTCCCAGGGACCTCCAAGAAGCCGTGTCAGTGGGCTGGGCAGCTCCTGGCCCAGCTGCACCATAGCGCCCTGGAGGTCCCTTGGCCTGTGATGCCTGGGGTGGCCTGGGCTGGGCCGGACTGTGGTGCTCAGATCTCTTGGGAGGGTTAGTGTGTGACGGCTTGGGCAGACAGTGGGAGGGGCTGGATGAGGGGGCTGCCTGTGCCTGCCTGGCTCTGCCAAGGGGGCATGAAGATTCTTGCTCTCCTGTACCCACCCACACATGGCCTCTGCTCCGTGCCAGGCCCACTCTGGGCCACAGGTCTCGCACTGGTGTGGGGTGGTCCAGCTGATGAGGTCAGAGGCCCCTCCCGTGCCGTCAGAGTTCATAGTCAGAGCAAGCCATCCAAAAGCCACGTGATCCACGGTAGTCCCAAGTCATGTGACACTGGAGCTGGCTGGCCATGGTCATCCCTGGTGTAATCAGAGACAGGCAGGGGACAGTGGTGATGGGGGAGCTGCCTGAGGCTATCCCAGGCCAGGGATGGGCTGCCTGGACTCATGCCCCTGCTCTGGCCTAGATGGCGGGTGTGACCCTCGAGAGCTGCCAGGACATCATCGAGCAGTTTGAGCCATGCCCAGAAAACAAGAGTAAGGGGCTGCTGGGCATTGATGGTGAGTGGGGCGCTGCCCTCAGCCCAGCTGTCCTGGGATGCTGGAGGGGCAACGAGGGCCCAACCTGTGGGCCGGGACAGGTGTTCTGTGTTCTGTGTGGCATGGGGGCAGGTGGTCATGAGACGAGGCTGGTGGTGGGCTGACATGGCCCCTATGCCACGCCGTCCTGCAGGCTTCACCAACTACACCAGGAGCCCTGCTGGTGACATCTTCAACCCTGAGCACCACCATGTGCACCAGGACATGACGCAGCCGCTGAGCCACTACTTCATCACCTCGTCCCACAACACCTACCTCGTGGGTGACCAGCTCATGTCCCAGTCACGGGTGGACATGTATGCTTGGGTCCTGCAGGCTGGCTGCCGCTGCGTGGAGGGTAAGCCCTGGACCTTGGGTGACGGCCGTGGGCTGGCATCTGCTGTGGGAGATGGGCTGCACCTGAGGAGCCCCCGGGGGGATCTCTGGGCAGGGGCTGGGAAGGCCTCTTCTGTGTCCCTCACTGAGCAATGGGACAGGCCCTCTTTTGGTCGAAGCTCAGCCTGCCTGGGCTCACTGTGGCTAGGCCCCTGGGGCTGACCAAGGCCTGCCCGCCTGCAGTGGACTGCTGGGATGGGCCCGACGGGGAGCCCATTGTGCACCATGGCTACACTCTGACTTCCAAGATCCTCTTCAAAGACGTCATTGAAACCATCAACAAATATGCCTTCATCAAGAATGAGTGAGTGGCTGGGCCTAGCGGGGCTGGCCCCAGAGGTGGGCAGGGTAGGGTCTCCAGGCTCTAGCTCTTCCTGCCACACCCACATGTCCTTTCTTTGGGAGCAGTGACTGTGGTGACCAGGGGGCTGGTTTCATTCTGGCATCTCTGGTTGAGGAGAGAGGGGCAGGGAGAGAGTATGGCCGCAGGTCTAGGCAGGGGCTTCACAGGAGCAGCTCGTCCACACGCCTGGTGGCACCTCCCGGTGTCAGTGCCCACAGCAGCTGTGGCTCCCACACTCATCACCCCTGAGAAGCCACTCTGTGTCCAGACTCAATTGGCTGTCACTCAGCTGTGGCTGTAGACACTATTGAAGAAAATACAGAAATTAGTTTCTGGAATTAGAAGACCGCCTCCCCGTGTGGTTTGAATTACCTTCAAGTCTTGGCTACATGAGGCTCGCAGGTGGGCAAGGAGCTAATTGCATGAAGGAAGAGAGAAGAAGCAAGATTGATTTAGGAAACAGAAGTAGATGGGCCTCTCCTGGAAGAGCTGGTCCTTGCTGTCACAGTCTCGAGCTGGCCCCATCCCTGGGACTGTAGGTGGGAAGGGCATTGCAAGGCACAGGGGCGGGGATGGGGGGAGGAGAGATGAGCTGGGAGGAGCCAGGGGCCTGCTGGGATCTCAGGACAGAGTTGCACCTATGACCAGTGTAATCTGTGCAGGCACAATGTTCTCCTGCAGGCCCTGGGCTTCAGGCCTCAGTTTCTTGCCTGAGAAGTGGGGGAATGAGCCCCTGCGCCCTGCCTGCCCACTCCACATCACAGGACTTGCTCATCTCTTGCCCTGGTTCATGCCCTCTTGCTCTGGGTCACTTACATTTTCTGAAAGAATCATGGCTGCCTTTTGGTAAAAATCCAAGTAAAACATACACATGGTTAAAAATGAAGCTGAAAAGCTTATAATTAAAAGTCCCTGCTATACTCCCCATTCTGCACTGTGCAGGTAATAACCATGTTCCACCAGATGGTGTGTGCCAGGCTTATGTCTCCTTCTTTATGGGACCAATGTCAGGACCCCAGGGCCATTCAGAGGACAGGGTCCCCAGTATCTAGGTCAAAAGGATTCTATTTCCCAGCCTATCTATAGCTCCACACTGTACCTTGGTTTTGTCCACATCATTTTAAAACCATGACTTTTTCAAACGTTCCTTTTGTTTTCCTGGAGTTTCTCATTGCCTTTGTTTTTTTTCTTATTGGGGAAAGCAGCTCATGCTCTCTTTACCAGTCCCTAAGATTCTCCCAGCTCCTTTCCCATCCACTCTGTTGCTTTTCAAAGCCATTGACGGGTGGGCCACCTCCCAGAGCTGCTGGTAATCCCAGCTATCCTGGGTTCCTGGTGAAGACCCCTCCTCATTCAATGGTTTAGATGACCTGGGATCTTGCAGAGGTGGGGCTTACCCATCCTCTGAGGCCCTGGCCTCATCCTGCTCTTTCTGCCTTGGGGCCACAGGTACCCAGTGATCCTGTCCATCGAAAACCACTGCAGTGTCATCCAGCAGAAGAAAATGGCCCAGTATCTGACTGACATCCTTGGGGACAAGCTGGACCTGTCATCAGTGAGCAGTGAAGATGCCACCACACTCCCCTCTCCACAGATGCTCAAGGGCAAGATCCTCGTGAAGGTGAGTGAGCCCCTGCCCTCCTGGGACCAGCTCACACAGAGTCTCGGGCCTGCAGCAGTGCCCTGCTCCAGACAGGCAGGGGCATCATGCCATCCATGGGCATATCTAGGGGGCTGAGGGCTGGCCACGCTCCTGACCTGGCCTCCATCTCCCCATGGTGGTCACTCTGGCTCAGGCCCCTCATGCACATCCAGGCCTTTCCCTTCACGCTGCTGCAGCCACAGGGAGCTGGCCAGTCTGGCCCCTGCCCCATGGCTGAGATGCCAAAACTGAGCTTGAGAAAAGGCCCCTCTCCTTGGCCGGCGGCTCTTTGTGGGTGCCAGGTACTGGCTTCCCAGCATTTTCTCCAGGGCCCCTCCCATCATGCACCTCCTCCCCCAGGGGAAGAAGCTCCCAGCCAACATCAGCGAGGATGCGGAGGAAGGCGAGGTGTCTGATGAGGACAGTGCTGATGAGATTGACGATGACTGCAAGCTCCTCAATGGGGATGTGAGTCGGGCTGGAGGTGGAGGGGGGCGCGTGGAGCCTGCAGTTCCCAAGAACAGCTGTCCGTCCTTGCTGTTGGGGCGAGTTAGAAAGGGAGGCATCCGGGAGAGAGGGACATTGGGGCAGATTCGCACAGCGGCCTGGGGCCTGGGGGGTCCTCCCTGCCCACCCACCCCTCTGCATGAGAGCTGCAGGCCTGCCTCTTCCCAGTTTCAGCTCCCACATTTGAGCTGACTCTTGGGGTACCATCCACTCCCCCTGCCCTGTCCTCTTGGCCCCTCAGTAAGTGGGGGCAGCACTGGGGGCTGGGTCCCACGCCAGACTCCACCCCATTCCCACCAGCACCTGGCCCACCCAGGCCCTGGCACAGGATTTCCCAGCTTCCCGCCCTTTTCCTCACCAAGTCTGGCTGGACGCTGGGTGGCTGGTAGTACTGCCCAGCCACCCCCGTGGCCAGTGCTGGCCTCATCTCCAAGCAGTGCCATCTCTAAGGTCAACTCTGATATGGGGGTCCCACCAGCAGTCACCTCCACAGAGCGCTGTCACTGTGTCCCCGCCAGGGCCAGGGTGGGGGGCTGCAGAGATGGGAGGGTCCTGTGAGGTGTTGGGCTCGGGGGCGCCGATCTCCTCTCCTCTGGACACTGCTCTGGGGCCGCTGCTGTGAGGCAGGGAAGGCCGTTGCTTCCAGAGGGGCCATGCATGGGGAGATAATTGTGCAGCGTGCTCCTGGCCACGCGGCCAACCATTTTAGAAACTCCTGAGGCAGCAGCACTCTTCCTGCCTGGGATGTGCGGCACACGCCTCTGTGTGGCCCACGTGATGGCAAAGGCAGCTCCACGGTGCTCCTGGCTTTGTGCCCACTCCAACCTGGCACCAGGGGCGTCTGACACCCAAGTCCCAGACCCTGTCCTCAAGGATTCCAAGTTCATCAGGGGCACCCGGGGGGCTGCACTGGCAGGGAAGGGCGTCCAACCCAGCTCAGAGGCTGCCCTGAAGTCTGCCCCTGGCCCTGCCATCTCCTGAGGCACATGGTGGCCAGTGGTGGGACTCCAGACCCTGTGCCGCCTGCTGGCGCACTGACCTCCCAGGCCACAGGGCCAGAAGCCGCACAGGCTCTGCTGGGGGCCGCTGGGCAGACTCGTGCTGCTGGAGGAGTCGGGTGGGCCTGGGTTCCCGTCCTGCCTGTGGCTGCCTGCAGGCCCTGAGGTGAATCACACGCCTTCCCTGAGCCTGGGGTGGGCAGAGTGCTGTGACCCTGGGGGTTGTCATTGCCACTACTCGCAGGGCTCGGGACAGATGCCAACAGGCCGGCCTCTGGCTCCTGCAGGCATCCACCAATCGAAAGCGTGTAGAAAACACTGCTAAGAGGAAACTGGATTCCCTCATCAAAGAGTCGAAGATTCGGGACTGTGAGGACCCCAACAACTTCTCCGTCTCCACACTGTCCCCATCTGGAAAGCTCGGACGCAAGGTAGAGGCCAAAAAGGTGACACCCCTGATGCCGACAGGCCCCCCCGACAGCCAGCCTGTGGGCCAGCCAGGGCCCCCGAACGTATGCTCTGTGCGCACTCACACCTGTGCACACACAAATCTGCACACAAGCATACCTCTGTACACACCTCCGCACACACCTGCATGATCCATACCCACCTACCAGCGGGGTCTCAAAGCCCAGCCAGTCGTTGAGAGCTGCCCAGCTGGGGGGACATGATTGCCTTCCCTGCCCAGCGCCCCTGCCTAGAGCTGCCTGTGGCCACGTGGGGAAGTTTCCACATGGAGCGAATGGCCCTCAGGGGCTGTCATGGCAGACACAATGGAGTGTGTGTGGGGTGAGAGGTGACAGGCAGGGTGGGCCGGGTCCTGCGGTCACAGAGCCTCCTTGTAGACCTTGAAGGAACCAGGAGCTGTGGCCGGTGGATCCCGCAGTCCTGCTGTGGGTGGGACAGAGTGGGGAGCGTGGGTGGGCCCTACAGACCCTCCACAGGGTGACAGTGCTGGTGGGCGCCTGTGCTGGGGACACGGTCTCCTGGTGCACAGAGCCTCCTTGCAGACCTCGAAGGAGCCAGGAGCTGTGGCCGGCAGATCCCGCAGTCCTGCTGCGGGTGGGGCAGAGTGGGGAGCGTGGGTGGGCCCTACAGACCCTCCACAGGGTGACAGTGCTGGTGGGCGCCCATGCTGGGGACACGGTCTCCTGGTGCCTGGAGAGCCCTACCGTGCCCTGTGGCACCGGCTCGTTCTGCCTGTCCCTGCAGGGACCTTGCTCTTTTCCTAACCCTTGGGGAGGGTGGGAAGGTGACTTCTCCCTGGCCAAGTGAGGGTGCTGTGTCCCCTTCCAGGACCAGTATTTTTAGACTCAGGTGTTTGCGTTTCCGCCCACGGGCCTCGGAGCACTCGGCACAGCTGACACCGCAGGAGAGCTCGAGGAACATGCCCTGTGCAGGTGGCTCTTGCAGGGCCCGAGCTGAGAGGCGTTCCTTTATTTTTATCCCAAGGTGTCTAGGTGGGGGAGAGTGGCCATCTGTGGCTCTGCTGGGCAGCCAGCTGGGCCTGTGCAAAACCTGGAGATGCATCTGCGGGTCCAGGAGAGTGGTCCCCTGCAGACCTCAGGTCTGAGCGGCTGCTGGGGGTTCTGTGCTCAGGGAAGGCTTCCTGCAGGAGGAGGAGGGGCTCAGGCACAGCCACGAAGGTTGGGGGAGGAGCGGGAATCCCCCCTGATGAGATGCACTCCTTGCCTGGTGTGGACACACACCCCAGAAGGGTCTCAGAGTCTTTGGTACAGGCGAGGGGCGGAGCTGATCCCAAGGCCAGGCCGGGACGCGTTCAGCCCTGGAGCTCACGGAGGGCGTGGCCCAGGTAAAGGGGGTGTCTGTGCACTGGGGGTCGTGGGGATGGCAAATCCCACTGAGGGACACTTGTGCCTCTCTGTCCCCCTGGGGTAGCCGGTGTCCCCTCTGCCCATGAACCTTGAGGACGTGAGACCTCTACTCACGAGTCCCTGAGGCCCGGGGGCAGCAGGAATGGGTATCTTGGGGAGAGAAGCCGGTGGGTAAGGAGGGGCCCCACCCCCAGAAAGCTGAGCACAACCCGGTGAGTGCTTGTGCAGCCAACAGCCTTGCCCCGTGAGGACCCTTCCCTGAGCACCCCCTCGGGGCCCAGAACCCAGCCTCCCTGACAGAGGCAGGGCTGGGGGGCCTGCTGCTGGCTGAGACCCTCCACCACCATCCAGGCCCCCTCACCTGGGCCTTCTGCTGCCTGCAGCCCCTTGGAGCATAGTTGGGTCTTGCTGTCTCCTCTGTTTGGGAGTCCCAGGGGTGACAACGGGTCTGGCCGTGCAGTACGGGCTGTGTCTGGCCGTCCGTCTCCTGGGTCAGCGCGTGCCTCTCCTCGGTCATGCCTGGATTTACAGTCGCTCGTGGCTCTGGGTCACTGCAGCATTTTGGGGATGTTTAAGGAGCTGTGAAGTGTGGTGGCCCCGACCGGCTCCAGGCGCACTGTCAGTCTGGCTCCTAGCGCCTCTCCCGGCAGCCGTGGCACCAATAAATTCAGAGGAAACCGGGGCTGGCTTTTCTGGAGGTGGAGAGAGACGAGCATGTCTGAGAGCCATGTGGACCTGGACAACCTGGGAGCCTCCTGCTGCAGTGCACGTGGGGCCTCGGGCTCCAGCCAGTGCAGCCTGGTGACGGGAAGGCCCCTTGGCCACTCTGGGCCGTGGGGAGGGCCGTCCAATCCCATCCTGGCTCCCTATGAGGGTGAAGGAGGGGCAGGGCACACCTCTGGGCCGTGGTACCCAGAGCACAGGGAGGCTGGCGGGAGCTCCCCGGCCGCATCAACAGGACTGAGAGGCCCGTCTGGCATGGGGCCTGCGGACGCGACGTGCCCTGATTTCCAACGCGTCCAGCGAGGCAGTGTCCAGGCAGGCCCAGGTCCAGGCTGGGGAGAGCGGGCAGCAGTCGGAGCTGTTTGCTGTGGCGTGGCTGAGCGCCGAGTGTCTGTGGTCATGAGAGCTACAGTGGCCTCTTTGCAGCAGTGTGGGAGCATCCAGGGGTGTGGGAGGGTGTGTGTGCAGGGGCGTGCTGTGGGTGTTGCAGGGGTGTGTGCAGAGGGGTGGGCGTGTACAGGGGCATGGCCACGGGTGGGTGATGTGTCCGCTTCTGGCGGAAGCCCCCTCCTAACAGGGACCGCTGCTGCAGGCCCACGGCTTTGCTGTGTTTCAAAGAAAGTAGCCCCCACCCTTGGTGGGGGACAGGATGTGGTATGGGAGCCCCTCCTGAGCACAGCTGGGCCATGTTTTGGAGGTGTCTGTGGGAGGGGCTGCAGGGGTCAGGTGGTGGCACAGGCTCTGCTGGTTCCATTGGGAATGAGCTTTGGGGTGAATGAGCAGCTCGTGAGGCAGCCCTGGGTTCGGCGGGGGGCAGGCAGGGTAGCCCTGGATGTGTCTGCTACTTATACAGCGGTAGGAAGGCTCACAGTGGTTTCCTGGGGTTCCCCAGCTCAGAACCCGCCTCAGGGAGTGCCCACCTGGAGCCGTGTGTCTGATTAGGGATACCCGCGCACTGCGGGAACAGGTCAGGGCCGTGGAATGCTCGTAAAAGGGTTGCGCAAGCAGGCCTGGCCGAGCAGTATTCCAGGCACACAAACGCAGTTATTACGTAGTCACCACTGGTGGGAAAAAAGGATTCAGAACTTAACGAGTTTAAAACAACACATGAGAGACGCTGAGGCAGGTGTGAGCGAATGTTTCCACCGGGGCCTGACTTTCAGGCCGCTTCTCCTCGGCAGCTGCCTCTGCCCCAGGGTGGACTGGGAACGGCTGCCACGGGGGCTCCCCAACCTGTCCCCGCCCTGCCCTCCCCTCCCGTCTGCCTTACTCCAGACCTGGCTCAAGCCCACCTCTTCCAGGAAGGCCTTCTGGGACCACCAGGGGCTGTCCCGGCCTCCCTGCCTGGTTCAAGGCTAGACTCACCTTGTCCCTGTCTCTCCCCTGGACTCAGAGCAAGGCTGAAGAGGACGTGGAGTCTGGGGAGGATGCCGGGGCCAGCAGACGCAATGGCCGCCTCGTCGTGGGAAGCTTCTCCAGGCGCAAGGTCCGGCGCAGCTCCCAGGCCAGGGTCCCGGTCTGGGCCCAGTGTCCTCCCTGCTCCCAGTGCCCCGTGTCCTCCCTGCTCCCAGTGCCCCGTGTCCTCCCTGCTCCCAGTGCCCCAGTGGGCCCTGCCCCAGCCAGAGCAGATGGGGGTCTCCTCCAGTCCCCAGGGTTCCCAGCCTGGCTCACAGGATCCCCTCTGAGTCAGGCCGAGCTATCGGTTGCAGGTGCCAGGGACTGGGCCAGAAGCCTGGGCTCGGAGCTGGTGGGAACAGGTGCCTGGCTGGCTCACATCCCTTCTCTGGCCCACGCTGGCCCTCGCCCCAAGCTCAGGTGCCTTGTGGCTGCCCTGAGAGTCTGCCAGAGCCCAGATCGAGAGGGCACCGAGGAGGCTTTGGCAGGCCCAGCCAGGCGGGATGGACATGGGAGGCTGCGTGGGCCGCTGGGGACCCCGGAGGATAGGCCCTCCCCAACCCCCCAGCCTTCGCCAAGGCCTGGCCTGGGCCAGAGGCCCTACAGCTCACACCTCTGCCCCCCGCACAGAAGAAGGGCAGCAAGCTGAAGAAGGCGGCCAGCGTGGAGGAGGGAGATGAGGGTCAGGACTCCCCGGGAGGCCAGAGCCGAGGGTAGGTGCCCTGCCCCACGGGGAGGCCCCGCACACTCCTGGGAGCCTGGCCCAACCGGGCCCTTCTCTGCGGTGACCCCACCAGGACCATCCCTGAGCAGGGCAGGACCTACCCCCTTCTTGGCCCCTGGAAGCAGTGAAGTGGTAGGGAGTGTGGTGTGCAGGGCAGGCTGGTGGCTGTGGGCAGTGGGGGCAGGGGCGGCTGAGCAGGTGGCTGGAGGGCCCAGGTCCCCACAGCCCTGGATGCTGCCGGGCTGTCGGCTCTCGGTCCTCACCGCCTCCTCTTATGAGGCCCCCAGCCTCATGCCCTCCCCAGGGGGCAACAAATGCCTGCCATGAAGTGGCTCCCCCTCTTCCCGTCCAGTCAGGCTGAATTCAAGGCCCAGGCCCCCGTGTCGGAGGCCTTCCTCAGCACTGTCTGGGGTCTCTTTGAGGTCTCAAACCTACAGGCCCAGAAGGAACTCCCACCCCTCCCGGACCCTGGGCTCCCCCCGTGCCGCCCACTCCCTCCTATTGCCGTCTCCCCTCACTTCCATCCCCCAATGGTTCCTCCGTGCCCCTCGCCTGGGCACAGCCCCCTCCTGTCTCATCCCGTCCCACGTGCCAGCCGGGCTCTGCCCTTAGCACACATCTGATCCACGTGTGCCGCTGCCACCCGGCCGACACGGAGGCCCCCTTGGACCCTGGCCTCCTCTCCACATAGCGATTCTAGGCCAGACCCAGGCCCCGAGCCCAGCTCTCCCCTGCTCAGAACCTTCCAGAAGCCCCCACACCTGCCACGCTTGGCAGGCCACGTCATCCTCCACTGCACACAGTGCCTAGGGACTTTGCACCTGCTGGTAGCTCCCAGCCAGCCCACATCCTGCCCAGCACTCAGGTTTCCGCAGCCCGCGGCCCAGTCTGGCGTCCGTCTCTGATGGTTCGGGGCCTGCTGCGTGAATTAATGAGGCTGCCCGAGCCCTGGAGCCCGTCTCACGGAGCTGGGTGCCAGGCTGGCCCTGGACGGGAGGGGTTCTGACCCCCTGCACCTGCCACAGGGCGACCCGGCAGAAGAAGACCATGAAGCTGTCCCGGGCCCTCTCTGACCTGGTGAAGTACACCAAGTCCGTGGCCACCCACGACATAGAGATGGAGGGTGAGTGGCTCGGGGACCTGGGGCCACGGGCGGAGGCCTCCCTGTCCCCCATCCCTGCTATGCTGCTGGGCGCCGGGCGAGGTCGAGGACTGGCAGTCTGATGCCCGGTCACCGGCGCCACAGCGGCGTCCAGCTGGCAGGTGTCGTCCTTCAGCGAGACCAAGGCCCACCAGATTCTGCAGCAGAAGCCGGCGCAGTACCTACGCTTCAACCAGCAGCAGCTCTCCCGCATCTACCCCTCCTCCTACCGTGTGGACTCCAGCAACTACAACCCGCAGCCCTTCTGGAACGCCGGCTGCCAAATGGGTGGGTGCGGGCATGGTGCGCTGGGTGTGGTGGGGAGGGCTCGGCTCAGACGGTCCCTGAAGCCCAAGGGGCGAGCAGGGGACCCGCTGGGGCCTCGGTTCTGTCCTGGGCTCTATTGCCCTTGGAGCCTCCACACCTCTGTGGCATGCTGCCGACACCAGGCTGCCACTGACACCAGGCTAGCACTGGGGCAGGGTCCTTCAGGCCTTGTGGGGGATGTGGGAGCGATGGTGCAGGCCTGTCCACCTACTCCCAGGGATACCTGCCTGCGAGGCTGGCTGCGCCAGCTCCGGGGATGTCCCTCCAGGATGTGCTGGCCTCAGTCCTGCACAGGTGTGAACCTTGGAGTCCCATTCACATTGGGTGAACGAGGGGCAGACGGCAGATACGCGGCAGCTGTGCAGGGGAGGCTAGCGTGTGGTGGTGGGTGGGCGGGGCACACACCTGGAAGGTCAGGTGCTGACCAGGGCAGCCTTGTGTCACCCTCGCAGTTGCCCTGAACTACCAGTCAGAGGGGCGGATGCTGCAGCTGAACCGAGCCAAGTTCAGCGCCAACGGTGGCTGCGGCTACGTACTCAAGCCTGGGTGCATGTGCCAGGGTGAGGCACTCGGACACTCAGGGCTCGGACGCTCAGGGCTCGGATGGGCCTCCTGGGTGTCCCCAGAACAGAGATCGGAGCCCCACAGGCTAGCAAGGGGGTGGGGGCGGCTTTGGCAGAGTCCCCTGGAGGGTCAGGTTGGGACGAAGCTCCCAGGATGCTGGGGAGGTGGGTGGGGGAACCCTCCTTGCTAGCGTTGCAAAGAAGGGCCCAGCTCCGTCAGGAATCCAGGGATGGAGAACTGGGGAGCCTGGGCCCCACATGAGATTCATGGCAGGACTTGTCTGAGGGGCCCCAGTGCCAGCGACCCAGCCCCCTGTGCCTGGCCCCTCTGTGGGTCTCAGGACCTGGGTCTGGGCTGGGTGTTTGGAGGAACCTCCTCCCGGCTCTCAGACACCTCTGTTTTGTCTGCTGTGGATGACTTCCAGCTTGGTCCCCCTGTGGCCCTGGCAGGAGTATCACCATGGGAGAGGGCAGGACAGGGGCTGGGCGAGCAGGCCTCCCACTAGACCAGGCTACTCCTGCTGTGGACCAGCTACTTCCACCTCTGCCCTTGGCTTGCCCTCCTCAGAGTTCTCAGCCTGAGTGGGCCCTGGGGACACTGTCACCAGAGACCCCACCCCTCATACCCCCAGGGACCCAGACCCACCCCCAGAAGCCATGTGACCTCCTCGGCTCAGCTGTGGGAGGCATGGGCTCTGTCCCACATGCTGCGGTAGCCACAAAGGTGATCCATACTGGGCCAGGTGCACCCCGAGGTGCCCCCCTGGACCACTGCCTCCCTCCCTCCCCCTGGCACCGGCTCCAGTCTCCTATGTGGGGGCTGGGGAGGGGGCTGTTGGCAGCCATGCCCCAGCAAGCAGGGGGCTTGCTGAGGGCTGGGCCACTGACCACCTCCCCGGCATCCCCTCAGGCGTGTTCAACCCCAACTCGGAGGACCCCCTGCCCGGGCAGCTCAAGAAGCAGCTGGTGCTCCGGATCATCAGTGGCCAGCAGCTTCCCAAGCCGCGCGACTCCATGCTGGGGGACCGTGGGGAGGTGGGGGCCAGCCCCACACAGGCGGGAGGGGTGGGAGTTGGGGGCGGGCCGGGCATCGCGATGGGCCCTGATGCCACCCCCACTCCTGTGTCCCAGATCATCGACCCCTTTGTGGAGGTGGAGATCATTGGGCTCCCTGTGGACTGCAGCAGGGAGCAGACCCGCGTGGTGGACGACAACGGTGAGGCTGGGCCGTGGCTCCGTCACACCTGTGATGGAAGTCTGAGGGGGGAGGGTTGGGGCTACCTGGTGTGCCCGGGTGCCCTGCCCAGGCCTCCCTCAGTGACAGTCCTGGGCGCCCTCCCCTCTAGGTGGGCAGTCCCGGAAGCAGCACCGGGAGTGGCACTGGGAGTGGTGTGGGCCGGGGGCTCCAGGCTGGAGCGGTGCTGGGCCGGGCCCTCCCCATGGGACACTCCTCCTGGCGCTGCTTCCCCAGGGTTCAACCCCACCTGGGAGGAGACCCTGGTTTTCATGGTGCACATGCCGGAGATCGCGCTGGTCCGCTTCCTCGTCTGGGACCACGATCCCATCGGGCGTGACTTCATTGGCCAGAGGACGCTGGCCTTCAGCAGCATGATGCCAGGTGGGCAGGAGTGGACACGGTGCCCCCCACACTGGCCGAGGGCCCCAGGGCAGGGCAGGTACTCTTTCCCCTGTGAGTCAGTGCCTGTGTAGGTGGGCCTGCACCTGGCACCAAAGAGACAGGAGCTGAGGACGGGAGGAGAGCCAGCCTGGGGATCTGCGGGTCAGGCAGGGGCATGGCCTGTGGGGGAGGGGCCACCCCCAGGAAGAGGTCCCTGCAGGCTGGTGCAATGCCAATGGGCTTCCTGGAGGAGGTGGGGTAGTGCTGGGCCCACAGGAGGCAGAGGCCCCAGGCCTGGGCTTGTTGGGTGTATCTGGGGTCTTGGGACCTTTAAGTAGAATGGGGGGCAGAGCAGGTGGGGGCCCTGGGAGGCTGTGACCTCATGACCCTGCTGACCCACACTGCTCCAGGCTACAGACACGTGTACCTAGAAGGGATGGAAGAGGCCTCCATCTTCGTGCATGTGGCTGTCAGTGACATCAGCGGTAAGGTGAGTGTCACCCCCTGCCACCAGCCATCATGGGGAGGGGCCACACCAGCCCCTTGTCCCATGCCCCCCCATGTGTCCCCAGTGCTGGGTCCTGAACTCAGGCAGTGAGGCCTAGGGTCCCCTCCCCGGGCCTCTGCTCCTCTATCTCAAGAGGGGCTGCTGTGGGGGCCTGGCTCCTGAGCCACCAGTGCCCACCTCTGATCTCAGGGCTGGCTTTGGGCATCTCGGGCAGGACAGGTCCTGAGTGCTCCGGGCCTTGCCCCGCCCTGTGTCACCCATGCCTGTCTCAGACTCTTGGGGGCCTTGCAGCCTCCACCCCTACAGTGCTGCCATCTGGCTTCTCAGCAGGGACCGAGTGATGCCCCTCTCCCCTCTACTACCCCCCACCCCTCTACTTCCTGGTGTCACGTGGAAGGCAGCTGCCCGGGTTTGCCTGTGACTCCACACCCAGCATGTCTGTCCCCTGCCCCAGGTCAGGGTGGGGCCTCGGCTTCCGCAGGAAGTGGTCTTGGTGCCAGCCCTGCTGCCCTGGCTTTGAGCTGGGGCCCAGTGCCCTCTGGGTCCTGCTGGCTGCAGCTGGCCCTCGGGGAACCCGCACACACAGCAGGAGGGGCCTGCCCAGGCCCAGTGCTGACTCTCTCCTGCCATGCTCTCGGGCCCAGAGGTGCCATCCAGCCCCTGCCGTCTATCCACCCATCTGTTCCTCGTCCCCCAGGCTGCAGGGCTCCCCACGCCACTGCTGTGGCCGCCTCACCTGCTCCCCCTGTCTCTTTGGTCTTGCAGTCGGCTTCTCTATGGCCACAGCCTACTTTTAGAAGTGCAGCTCTGTTAGGAGCCTTGAAGGTACCCGGTGCGCGGGACAGTGCGGCCCGCCGCCCCTGCATGCCCAGGCCGCACCCCATTAGCATCCATGATTCCTGGTAGCATTTGGAGACTGTCGCTCATGTGACGTGGATCATGACATGGCTCCGGGGGCCCTGGCCATCCCCAGCCATAGTGGCATTTACGAGGCAGATCCAGGGTTCAGCTGGGTGGCCGCCTTCTCACTGGCCTCTCCTCCCCTCCCCTCCCTCAGTCCTCCCTCCCCTCCCTCAGTCCTCCCTCCCCTCCCTCAGTCCTCCCTCCCCTCCCTCAGTCCTCCCTCCCCTCCCTCAGCCCCTTCCCTGGCGGGCAGCCCGCTGGAGCCCCCACTGTGCCCCTCCTATCCCCCTCCTTCTCTCTCCTGCCCCCATCTCGGACCCTCAGGCTGTTGGTTCTGAGTTCGCCTCCCACTCCCTCCCTGTCCTTGCCAACCATGCCAGTGCATGGGATGAGGGCACCCCTGAGGCCGGCGCTCCGAGCCAGAATCCCGGATCTGCTTCTAAATGGCTTCCCAGCCACTGTGACCAAATGCGTAGATTTGGGATCTTGAATCAGGAAGCTGATTCAAGTGCTGGCCATCTGAACGCATCTGCCCAGAGGCGCCCCTGCAGGGGGGTGACCCACCTGCCGGGCCTGGGCCGCTCTGTGCACGAGCACGGCTCGTCATGGGGGCGCGGTGGGTGCTGTCTCGGGGGCATCTGGCATGTGAGGGCCCCTCTGGCCTCTGCGCCCTGGAGATGCGGCTGCCTCCCTCTCAGCAGCTGTTCTGCCCAGGCAGGGACCTCCTGGGCCCAGCTGTCCAGGAAGATTGGCTGTGGCCAGGTGCTGGTGGGCTGGGAGTCTGAGCCCATCTTGGCAGGGCTCAGGGGGCAGCAAGCCAGCTGCGGGCCTTGGGGGCTCACATGAGTGGAGGGCAGGGCAAGACCAGAAAAGGCTGCCTGGGGGAATTCAGGAAGGCTTCCTGGAAGAGGTGGTACTTCCTAGGGCACGAGTATCACCATGGGAGTGGGCAGGACACGGGCCGGGCAAGTGGGCCTCCCGCTGCACCTGGCTACTCCTGCTGTGGACCAGCTACTCCTGCCTGAGGGTGGGGCACACACAACCAGGGAGTGCCACGCCAGTGTCCCCTGCTAGCGCCGGGGGCTGCGGGCCTCTGAGCAGGTGCAGGCTGTGGTGGGCCAGGCTGGGGCTCGAGGTCTCTCCTCCGGAGGGAAAGACCTTCTCTCCATGCCCCTCAAGGGCCCCACATGCCCTGGACAGGTCAGGCGAGGGCAGTTTCTGCCGGAAGGGTGGGGTGGGCCATGTGTACTTAGATCTGTAGCAGCTACTGTCCCAGGCAGAGCTGCCCTAGGGACCCTGCTCCTGAAGGCCCTGGTGTGTCCACACACCCCCAGCCTGAGGTGGCCCAGCCCCTCGGACCGAGACACGCATGGCACGTCTGTGGCACGGTCTGGAGAGCTGGCCCTGGGGGAGCAGCTGCAGCTGGGCTGGGACCCCTGGCAACAGCTACATGGGCTCCTTCTCTTGCAGGTCAAGCAGGCTCTGGGCCTAAAAGGCCTCTTCCTCCGAGGCCCAAAGCCCGGCTCGCTGGACAGTCATGCTGCTGGGCGGCCCCCGGCCCGGCCCTCCGTTAGCCAGCGGATCCTGCGGCGCACGGCCAGCGCCCCGACCAAGAGCCAGAAGCCGGGCCGCAGGGGCTTCCCGGAGCTGGTCCTGGGTACACGGGACACAGGCTCCAAGGGGGTGGCAGACGATGTGGTGCCCCCCGGGCCCGGACCTGCTCCGGAAGCCCCAGCCCAGGAGGGGCCCGGCAGCGGCAGCCCCCGAGGTAAGGCGCCAGCTGCGGTGGCAGAGAAGAGCCCTGTGCGAGTGCGGCCCCCGCGTGTCCTGGACGGCCCCGGGCCTGCTGGGATGGCCGCCACATGCATGAAGTGTGTGGTGGGATCCTGCGCCGGCGTGAACACCGGGGGCCTGCAGAGGGAGCGGCCACCCAGCCCGGGGCCTGCAAGCAGGCAGGCAGCCATTCGCCAGCAGCCCCGGGCCCGGGCTGACTCACTGGGGGCCCCCTGCTGTGGCCTGGACCCTCACGCTATCCCGGGGAGAAGCAGAGAGGCCCCCAAGGGTCCTGGGGCCTGGAGGCAGGGTCCAGGCGGTAGCGGCTCCATGTCCTCGGACTCCAGCAGCCCAGACAGCCCGGGCATCCCCGAAAGGTCCCCCCGCTGGCCTGAGGGTGCCTGCAGGCAACCGGGGGCCCTGCAGGGAGAGATGAGTGCCTTGTTTGCTCAAAAGCTGGAGGAGATCAGGAGTAAATCCCCCATGTTCTCCGCCGGTAAGCCCCTCTTGCCCTGCGTGGTCCTCCCGCACGCCCCTGGCATGGCTGGGCCTGGGTCACCTGCTGCTGCTTCTGCGTGGACGGTGTCGCCTCGTGTGCTCGTGCTCGTGGCTCTGTATCCGTGGCACTGTCTCCGTGGCACTCTGCTCCCTTGGCTTGCCTGTGGCCCATAGCCCCAGCCCTCCTGTCTGAGCTTGAGGCCCTGGGACTTGGGTGGAGCTGGTTTGAGGCCCGACAGGCTGGGAAGAACCAGCTGCTCTTGCTGAGGGTCTGGGGCCGGGACTGTGGCCTGACATGCTGGGCCCCTCCGGCTGGGCGCTTCCCCAAACTCACCTCCTGGGCGGCTGGCGACCTGCATGGCCCCTGATGCCTTTCCTGGGACTGGGGGCCACGTACCATCCCATTCCCACCTCCCTCTAGGGCAGGCTCCAGGGGTCCCTACTGGGAAGTCTGATGTGGGCAGGTAGTGCAGCTGCTGGGCGTCTCCTGCGCCCCTGGGACGCCTGGAGCCTGCTGAGTGCTGCGTGGAGTAGATTCCCTGGGCCCCAGGGCTTCGCTGCTTTGGGCTGAAGCACCCCACTAGAAGGGTGTCTCCTTAGCCTGGAGGGAGGGACATACACGGAGCCCGCCCCACACCACCCTGCCCCTCCAGACCCCCCTGACCAAGCTTTCCTTTCTGCCCCCACCCACGCTGCCTCCGTAGTTAGGAACTGAGAGCGGCGAGTGACAGGTAACGGGGCCCAGCCCCGGTGTCCCGTGCTGTCCCAGCCCAAGGAGGGCCCCGTGTGCGGCACAGGGCGTGGACTGGGCCCCAGCAGCAGCAGGGTGGGGACACCGAGTGTGCCGCGCCCGGGGGATGCCTCGGGGTGGGAGCTGGGCCTGGCGACCCTCGGCACAGGGCACCGGGGACACCACCCTGATCCGACTCCTCTCCGCCTCTCTCCCTGCCTCCCTCTCTCTCTTCTGCTTCTCCCTCTGGCTCTCTCTCACTCCCCCACCTCCCCACAGACACCCGCCCCCTCTCCACGCAGCGGCCACTCCCCCCACTGTGCAGCCTGGAAACCATCGCTGAGGAGCCCGCCCCAGGCCCTGGTCCCCCGCCACCAGCGGCTGTCCCCACCAGCTCTTCTCAGGGACGGCCCCCATACCCCACAGGACCCGGAGCCAATGTGGCAAGCCCCCTAGAGGACACTGAGGAGCCCCGAGACAGCAGGCCTCGGCCGTGCAACGGCGAGGGCGCCGGCGGGGCATACGAGAGGGCCCCCGGCAGCCAGACGGACGGCAGGAGCCAGCCCCGGACCCTGGGCCACCTGCCCGTGATTAGAAGGGTGAAGAGTGAGGGGCAGGTGCCCACGGAGCCCCTGGGAGGGTGGCGGCCCCTGGCCGCTCCCTTTCCAGCTCCTGCCGTGTACTCCGATGCCACGGGCAGTGACCCGCTGTGGCAGCGGCTGGAGCCATGTGGCCACCGAGACAGCGTTTCCTCCTCCTCCAGCATGTCATCCAGCGACACTGTCATTGACCTCTCCCTGCCCAGCCTGGGCCTGGGCCGCAGCCGTGAGAACCTCGCTGGAGCCCACATGGGACGCCTGCCCCCCAGGCCCCACTCGGCTTCGGCTGCCCGCCCAGACCTGCCACCTGTGACCAAGAGCAAATCCAACCCCAACCTTCGGGCTACAGGCCAGCGGCCTCCCATACCTGACGAACTGCAGCCCAGGTCCCTGGCCCCAAGGATGGCTGGCCTCCCCTTCCGGCCTCCCTGGGGCTGCCTTTCCCTGGTGGGCGTGCAGGACTGCCCCGTGGCTGCCAAGTCCAAGAGCCTGGGCGACCTCACTGCTGATGACTTTGCCCCTAGCTTTGAGGGCGGCTCCCGCAGACTGAGCCACAGCCTGGGCCTCCCGGGAGGGACACGGCGGGTGTCGGGGCCAGGGGTGAGACGGGACACCCTGACAGAGCAGCTGCGCTGGCTCACTGTCTTCCAGCAGGCAGGAGACATCACGTCACCCACCAGCCTGGGCCCGGCTGGGGAGGGGGTGGCAGGGGGCCCTGGTTTTGTGCGGCGCTCCTCCTCCCGCAGCCACAGCCGCGTGCGTGCCATTGCCAGCCGGGCCCGCCAGGCCCAGGAGCGGCAGCAGAGACTGCAGGGCCTGGGCCGGCAGGGACCCCCAGAAGAGGAGCGGGGCACCCCCGAGGGCGCCTGCTCCGTGGGCCACGAGGGCAGTGTGGATGCACCAGCACCCTCCAAGGGAGCCCTCGGGCCAGCATCCGCGGCTGCTGAAAACCTGGTCCTGCTCCGCCTCTGACCGTCAGTGGTGGGAACCTGGGCGGCTCTGGAGGCCCAGGGCAGGGGTGGGCGTGTTGTTTGCTCAGGAAACAGGGCAGCCAGGCCCCCAAAACTGTGTCCCCCTGGCTGCCCTGTGTCCCCTCCACCCCTGCCTCCCTCCTGCCCCTGCTCCCGGGGAGGAAAGGCTAAAGCTGCTGGCCCGGGGCCCACAGGAGGGGCTTCGAGGCTGGCCCTGCCAGGCAGTTTTCCCGGCGTTTTAGGATCTGTACATAGAGAAATATTTAAATTTTTAGAAGCAAAACTTATACAACATTAAAATGATACCAAGTCCCTTTCCATTTTTACCTGGTTTTTCACCCCAGGTGTGTGTGGTGTGCATCTGTGCGCACCTGTCCTGAGCCTGCCCCGGGAGGCGCGGCTGACCTGGCCACGGCACAGGCGGGGGTGCTTGTGAGGCACCAGGGCTGCTCAGGACGGCCGTCTGGGCCTTGCCCTGAAGCCTGTATCTGCCTTGCACCGACCACGCCACCCTCTGCACCATGCCTAAGCCTCTGTCAACTCCCAAACGTGGTTCTGATAAACGTGCTCACCAGCACGCATGGGCTTCCCGTTCGCTCAGCCTCCTGTGCCACTTACTTACCAGGTGCCCGTCGGAGCCTGCGCCAGGCCCAGAAGACACCCCAAGAAAAGACCTGGCCTGTCCTCAGAGGGCTGAGCTGGACAGGCTCCCAGGGTAGGCTGCAAAGCCTGCTCCTCAGGACGCAGGCCCTAACCCCGGGCCACAGGCCCCCCAACCCGGGGGACTGCTCTGCCTGCAGAGCATGGTGGTTCCAGAAAGGCCCCTACCCTAGAGAAGCTGGGGTGCTGGTCGGGCCTCTGGAAGCCTGTGCTGCAGCCCGTCCTCTGCTGCCCCAACAGTGGGAGTGGGTGTGGCCCACCCTGTGGCCAGGGGAGTCAGGGGATGTCCTGCCCCATGAGGCTCTGTCACCTGCGGCTGCCCAAGGGGCCTGCCCGGCGCACCACCCGGATGAGCACTGCTCTGTCGGGGTATCCCGTCTCACCCCTGGCTGCGTTGTGCCCAGGCAGGGCCCTTGGGAAGGCGGGCCTGAGGCCCGGAGGCCGGGATCCTGGGGTGCTGGGGGAGCTCTAAGGGGGCTGTTCTGCCCTCACCATGTTCCTGCACTGACAGGGATTGTGGGCGGCCACAGGAATCGCTGTCACCACTTCCCCAGCTCAGCCAGGCAGAGGGGCCACTGGTGCCGCCCTTCCCCCAGCCCCACCACGCCCCTCAGAGAGAGCCTGGCAGGACTTCGTCATCCTCGAGCCCCAGAACACTTGCGTGTGGGCAGCTGCAGCCCCACCGAGAGCAGGGGTGTGGTGAGCTGGTTGCCTGGGGCCCGGGGCGGCACCTGAACCTGAGGAGTCTCAGCTCTGGGACAGGGGACTCACAGAGCCCCCGGCAGTGACACTGACAGCAGCCTGGTGACCGAGGCCTCCTGGCGAGCCCCCAAGTGGTGCCGTGGGCAGGGCAGAGGTTGGGGAGCCAGCTGGGGGTCTGCGGGAGTCAAGGAGGGGCTGAGGGCCTGGGGCCAGCTCGTGTTTTGAGGAAAGCGCCGTTGAAATGGCCACATCAAGGGAACAAGGCAGAGGCCAGAGCCCTCCTGCTCCAGCTCCGGCTTCGGCGGGAAAGGGCTGGGGAAGGGCTGGGAAAGGGCTGGGGAAGGGCTGGGGTCACAGAGGCTGGGGTTGCCCGGAGGCACAGGGGTGCCTGGCTCATAGGCTGGGTGGCCCCTTGTGCAAGAGGGGAGCTGAGGCCGTGGCCACCGGCAGGCCCTGCATGGGGGTGTGCAGGGGCTGAGCCTGGGCTAGGCCCTGGTGTCTTTGTCCTGGCTCTGTCCTTCCAGGCCTCTGTGCATCCCCCACCTCCTCCTCGGCATCCTGTCTGGGCCAGGCTCAGGCCAAACCTCTGTAGTGGGTGCGTCCCCAGCACAGATGGACTCTCCAACCCCGGGGTCAAGCCCTGTGGGTGTCAGGCCAGGCAGTCACACATCCGGGTGCCCAGAGCGGCCAGGCCACTGCTGCCACCCACCACCAGTGAGGGTGGGGCCAGGATGGGAGCAAGAGCTGGAGGGGCCGAGTGGGGTCAGGGAAGGCTACAGAGATGCAGGCTGGGAGGGCTTCCCCATCAGAGAGCCGGGCCTGAGGAGAGGGCCGGAAAGTGGTGAGGGCCCATGGGGTTCCGGGGGCTGGGCCTCTGCCCTGGGGACCCACAGGAGGGAGAAGCTGGAGCCAGGGGGACAGTCCACCTCAGGATAGCCCAGCTGCCCCCGGGCTCCTCTGCCAGGACACGAGACCCTTTGGTGGCCGCTGCACGAGGGCTGGGACTCAGGTTCCACGCAGACTCCAAGGGCAGGTCACGAAGAGACACCACAGTGGGGGCCAGAAATGGCCACTGGGCACCTCTGGGCAGGCCAGGTCTCCATGAGGGAGGGGTCTTAGCCTCTGCAGGTTCCAGACCACCAAGCAAAGCTGTCTGGAAGGTGATCCATGCCACCCCACCTCCTTGGCCTAGGACAGCCTGTGCTTGGGGGTCTCAGTGAAGCCTCTGGATGTGGGGGACCCCAGCGGGGGTGGGGGTGGTGGGGCAAGGTAGCAGCTCAGCCTCCTCAGGGCCTGCCCAGCAGCTCAGCACCAGGAACAGCTCCCACCACATGAAGTCAAAGCTGGGGGCCTGCAGCCAGCCCACCCCAGCAGGGCCTCCGCAAGCCCTGTGCCCTCCTGCCCTCTCTACGATGCTATGTGTGGTCTCAATCCCACACCTGGGCTGAGGGGGAGGACCCCCAGGCGCCTCAGAGCTCCCAGGGGCCAGGCCCAGCGGGCCTCCCTGCTGCCAGCTCCCCCCAGCCATGCCCACCCTAGCCACAGAACACGGCCCCAGGGAGCCTGGTCCCAAGGCCATAGCAACCAAACCCACGCGGTCCACACAGTTCCTAGCAGGGTCCACGTCGGCCCCTGGCTGCCTGAGAGCCCTTGAGGGTGATCGATGTCGAGGGCTCCTTTCCCAGGCTCTCGAGTCAGGAATTGCTGCTCAGCACCCACACATCCCGCAGGTGCAGGGGGAGGGCGCTGGAGGGACGAGGGTGGCTGAGTTGGTTCTTCTGGCCCGGAGGGAGCGGTGAGAGACGCAGGGGCCCGGGGCCATGGGGTCTGCGGGGCGGCTGGCACTCGTTGCCTACAAGGTCTAGAAGCAGCGCAGGGAAGGGCTCCCGCTCTGGGCTCCCCCCATGGGAGGAGTCGGGAGGGGCCCCTGCTCCGAAATAAAACATCGCAGATGGCTCCGGCCTCTTTTAAAAACTCTATTTGGTGCGTGCCCACGGTGCTGCGTCCCGTCAGACATACCTGTATAGATCTCTCTATTTATATATATATATATATAAAAGGTTCTTTAGCAGTTAAATAGATTCCAATATGAACGTCTCCCAGGACAAAGCTGCGTCTCGCCTCTGGGTCACACGCATCTGTGCGGCTGGGGTGTATGTGCCGCGTCACAGCAGTACCATATAAATACGTTGATTTGAACGCAGTTTCCCTGTGGTGGTAAAAACACATTCCTGACAAGTGACAAGCAGAAGAGTCCGGCAGCTGCAGCGCCTCACTCGGCTGGGACCTCGTACTTGAAGATGACGCTGAAGAGCCGGCCGCCCAGCCGCTCGGCCAGCCACGCGTTCTTGATGACGGCCAGCTTGAGGCTCTCGCAGCGCAGGGCTGCGTGGTAGTTTGTGTGGACAGCACGGCCCATGCCCTCGATGACCACCAGATCCGCGCCACGCTCCCGCACCAGTGCGGCCAGCCCCTTATCCAGGCGGCTTTGGGGAGGAAGAGGACGGTGAGACTGGGCAAGCAGACCCCAGACCCCACTTCCCATACAGTGCGGCGACCAACGTGAAGGCTGAAACCCCTACCGCTCAATTCCCTGATGTGGAGGCCTCCAAACCCAGCCTCCGCCTGGTAGCTGCCTCAGCCTGGGGCTTCCTCAGAGCAGCAGCTCACACAGGGCCAGAGCAGCTGCAGCTTGGAAACTCTGCCCTAGATCTCCTGTGAACTCTAGGGATGGATTCCTTGTCATTTTCACGCCCTCCTTGTTGGTGAGAGTGGGGCTGGGGCACAGATGAAGCCAGCACTGGAGAATCCCACCAGGCAGAGCAGACCAGCGGCCCCAGCACTCAGAACCCGCTCATTTAAGGGGTTCCTTCCTCCTCTGCAATCAGGAGGACAGACAGCACCACATACAATTGACTAATGACCTCCAGAACCACAGAAGCAGAGCCTGGCATCTATGTGGGACACGGAGGTGACAGACACCGGGCAGCTGCCCAGGTCGCCCTCGGTCTCAGCTGAGTGGCCACAGGGACATTGGCCCCTCTTGCCCCAAGTCCCCAAACCCAGCCCATGTGTAACCACCTCAGACCCTGAATCCATTCACCCTCCCCAGGCCACCTTCGGGGATGGCATATCTGTCCCCTCCTGAGATCAATCCGGGCCTGGGGTCAGGAGAGGCCGCAGGGGCAGTCCTGAGGTCGGTGTCCCGCATGCACCTGGGTGCAGGTGCACGGCACAGAGGGCACAGAGCCCAGGAGGGAGAGAACAGGTGCAGGGTGCGGGGTTACCTGAGGTCGAGGCACGGGGAGCTGGAGCCCGTCTGCACCAGCAGCAGCCTCTCTTCCTGGAGCGCAGAGCTGCCAGATACAAGGTGGTCAGTGCCCCCAGGAGCTCCCAGTTCAGTGACAATCCCCATGGCCCACTCTGCCCAGCTGGTGCCCCTCCCCATCAAGGCCCCCCCAGCACTGCCCGCCAACACTCACTGCACGACAGGGTCCATGCCCGCAATACGCTCTGCCACGATGAGGGACTCGCTGTGGGTCACGTCGTTCAGGGCGGGGCCTGAGTTGCACGCCAGGATGACCTGCAGGAGGAGGGCCCAGGCTCTTTAGGAACCTGTGCTGGCCCAGCATGGAGCCTGCGTGCACCCCGGCCTTCGAGTGGCTGGGCTGGGTGAGGGTGCTGTGCCCAGCGGGCCTGGCCAGCCACCTGCTGCTGAGGAGCAGGGACCTCGCCTGACCTTGCCACTCTGTGGCCCCTGGGAGGGAGCTGAGCCGAGGGGCAGAGCTGAGTTTAGAGCCTGCCCCTGGGACCTGCCTGTCTGTGAAGTCACAGCCCCAAAGCCTCCTTGCTGTGAGCACCCTTCCAGGAGCCTGGCGTCAACCCTGGGCTTCAGCACATGGACCCTCAGCCTGAGCCCAGGGGGCTCGGAGCCTCCACCCCAGCAGATGACGGCTCTGGGCCGCCTCCCCCGTGCTGCTGCCTGCACCTACCTGCTGCGTCCGGAGGAGCCCCGACCACCGCCAGAGGCCCACAGCGGCGCCAACCCCACCGAGAGCAGAGAAGCCCAGGGGAAGGGCCCCACCCACCACCTCAACACTCACCTCTGTCCCTCTAAGGAGTAGCTCCCTGACAAAGGGGAAGACTCCCAAAATGATGTCTATTCCACTGTTATCTGCGAAAATTAAGGCACATTTATGAGGGGGCCCCTGTAAGACAAAACCAGGACGTTCAGTTGGGAACAGGCGCATCCAAGCGAGTCAGTCCGCACCCCTGCTGCCCGTCACGCTGCCCTGCAGGGGCCGAGACTGGGGGCTTCAGGGCCCCAGAGATGCCAGGGATGGGCTGTCCTGCAGGGGCCGAGACCAGGGGCTTCAGGGCCCCAGAGGTGCCGGGACTGGGCTGGGCTGCAGGGGCTGAGACCGGGACTTCAGGACCCCAGAGGCACCGGGACGGGCCAGCCTGCAGGGGCTGAGACTGGGGCTTCAGGACCCCAGAGGCGCCAGGGACGGATTGGCCTGCAGGGGCCAGTGCCTGTCTCTTCTGGCAAGGCTTTGTGCCTAGAGCAGGTGACCTAAGAAGCAGTCACGACAGGAGGGCAAGTGTGGGGCAGGGGATGCTGAGACCCTTGGCTCGCAGGATGGTGAGACTCTAACAGGAGGGGAGGGCCACCCGAGGCAGCCCATGCCCACCTCCCTCCAGTGACCACCCCCCCGGGCCCCGCTGTGTCCCCAGCAGCAGAGGTGGGAGGCCCCTCCACATACCTTTAATCTCTGAAGCCACTCGCTGTAGGAATCCACGAGCCAGGGTCTTTCTGAGACAGAGAGAGGGACACATGATTAGCCCGGTGCTCCAGGTCAGGGGTCAGGGAGACGCGTCTTCAGGTGTTCGTCTCTCCAGGAAGCAAGTTCTCCCCGCCCCCGAAGCCCAGCTGACAGAGCCTTGAGCAGGGGAGGTGCCTGGACCCCGACCGCAACTGCATTCGCTGTTGCAGAGAACGTCCAGGCATGGCCCCAGCACAAGGCAAGGCCCCAAGTTACTTGGCCATCCGTACCTTGTAACTTCCTCTTTGCTTCTTCAAACCCAAAGTAGGGGTCGGATTCAAGGACACTGCATGGAGGAGGAGAAAAGAAAATTAAGACAACAGAACAAAAACCTTCAGCCACAGTGCTCAATGTGAAGACCCCAAATCCCTCCCAGGCGGGACAGAGGCAGCTGCTCAATGTAAAGATCCCAAATCCCTCCCAGGTGGGACAGGGGCAGCTGCTCAACGTGAAGACCCCAAATCACTCCCAGGCAGGACAGAGGCAGCTGCTAAGACCCCAAATCCCTCCCAGGTGGGACAGAGGCAGCTGCTCAACGTGAAGACCCCAAATCACTCCCAGGCAGAACAGATACAGCGTTCTTAACATGCTGCGATCCGCAGAAGGCTCAGGGGGCCACCAAGCAAAGGTCTGAGAGAGCACAGGCTGTTTCTCAAGGTGGACTCGGAGCCACGGGGCCAGGGAAGCCTCTCGGTGACTGGCAGCCGCAGTATGGTCCCTGTGCTTGGCACCCATGCAGGCGGTGTGGGGAGCCCCCAGCCACAAGGCCAATCCCATGGGTCAGGACCCTCCTCCAATGCTCCTGACAGGCTGCGGGAGGGGCCTGTGTCCCAGAGGGGCAGCCATGGTTGGAGGCGGCGTTCTCATCTATGTCTCGAGACACGAGTGGGACCCAGGGAGGGCTGAGAACCCAGGCATTTCCCTCCAGCCCCACATGAAAAAAAGCAGGGACCACGAGAGGTGGTGCGGCCGCCTGGGGAGGCCCAGAGACTGGAAGCAGCTTCTTTGGGAGTGAAGGTAAATGATGGTGGGGGGGTTCATTTTCAAGATTCAGAGCCCCAGGAGACGGCGCCAGGTGCTAGACACCTGCGTGTCCTACAGGCCAGTCTAGGGGACTGCTTTGCAAAGCACCCTTTGATCATCACATCAGAAATGTTTAATTCCTACCACACATAGGAAACATGAATTTGGATTCTGACAATAGAAAATGCCAGCCCCGATTTTCAAATCCACACCCTTAGGCCTCTGCGGCACCCATGCTTAAGGAAGGGGCCTCCTCAGAACCTGAGGGGACAGACAAGGGCGCTGCGCCCTGCCCAGCCCCTGGCGCTGCTGCCATGTGCACTCCCTGGGCCCCAAAGCCCTGAGCCACCAAGCCACCAAGCGCCACGTGACCCCCAAGGGACCCGCTCCACCTCCTTGCCCGCAAGCCTGGGGCAGGACAGGCACCCACAGGCTGCAGAGCCTGCTCCGAGCCCGCAGACACCTACGCAGACACGGCTTTGGCCCCCCAGTCGAAGACATTCCCCGCCAGGAGGCCTTTCACCAGCGCCAGCTGCCGTTCCTCCCAGCCCAGCGCGTCCAGGGAGCGCACGACCCCGGGGAAGCACCTCAGCGCCACGCCATTCTCCCGCTGCTTCACCTGTGGAGAGTGCCAGATGCCAGGCCTGAGTGAAGACGTGGCCTCAGCCCACCCTGGACACCTGCCAGGCGCAGCCTGTTCCATACCACGCCCCTCAGGATCGAAGACTCAGGCCCAACTGGGACCCCACCAGGCACAAGCCTATCGGTCCGGGACAGTGGCCAGCGCACAGCTGCACGGGGCTCTGAGGACGAGGCCCAGGACAACTTCAGCCCCCATGTGACTGAGCAGTGGGTGAAGGGCAGGACAAGAGTGGAGGACACGGCCCCCACAGGTACCCACAGCCCTGGCCTCAAAACCCTCGACACCCAGACTTCCGCTGTCACAAGGCTCGGCGTGTGAGGGGAGGGAGGCATGGCGCTGGCCCTTCCCAGAAGAGGTGGGAGGAGTCCATGCCTCCGCTGCTGCCCGCTGCCTCCTGGCAGAAAGGGCCAAGGAGGGCTCTGGCCGCCAGACTTGGGGAAGCAAAACGGACGCCCGGAAAGGCCCACCTTGCACGGCCCTGCACGTTGCCGGGATAGGAGGCCTCTGGTCACTGTCCAGCCTCCTAGGAGGGAGCCAGGGTGGTCCAGGGTTCCAGCCCCTCCCCATGAGGGGAAAGCAGTCCCCAACCACAATCGCCCACCCTCACAGAAGCTGGGAGGCCCTTGGCTCCTGCAGGCAGGCAGCCTGTGTCTGTCAGGAACACATCCAAACTGGGGTTCACACCCTTCTTCTCTAGTCACAGCAGTCCCCACCCCTAAGTGGCCCCAGCATCTGTGGGGGTAACACAGCTCCTCAGCAGATGCTGCCAACAGAGGCCCTGGCTATTGTGGTGCCAGGGCTGGAGTTGGGGCCGCTACCAAACCTGCATGGCCTCAGACAGGACAGGATGCCCCGAGCCAGCGGGACAGAGACAGGACACGCGGTGCCAGCGGGACGGGGACAAGAGCGAGCGGAAGGCCAGGGCACACTGCACTTACTTTGGAGTAGGGATCCGGGAAGTTGAACTCGTTCAGACAGTGCTCCCTGGTGTCCAGCAGGCTGCGCACGGTCAGGGTCCCATAGGCGCTGGGGACAGACACGGCAGAGGGCGCTGAGCAGGGCAGGCCGAACACCCGCCCGTCTGCCATCCTCGGCTGTGCCACGGACGTCCTCAGGAGCCCGGCAGTGCAAACGCTGCTTGAGGCGGGGTCCAAGGGGGCTGTGCCGCCAGGGCCCACACCCACCCCCAGCGAGCTGGGGTCCGAATGCCAACATCACGGCACTTTCTCAGAGGTGCAGGGGCCCTCTGGATGGAAGAGGTGGCCACACACCGGGGTGCTGGGCACTTACAAGGGCTGCTGCCTCAGGGTCTGAAGCTTGTTCCAGTACTTCTGCCGGAACTTCTCCGCCCTCTCGGCTGCATCCACAGAGTCTGGCTGGCTCGCCACTGCGCGCTTCACTACCTGCCAGCGACAGAAGGAGGGGGTTAGTCAAGCGCTGGCCCTGCTGCTTGCGAATCCCCACGTGACAGCAGGGGGCTCGGGGAAGGGTGGGGGTCGGCCGTGGGGGACTGTCTGGGGCAGGGTGGGGGCGGCTGTAGGAGGCCTGGTGCAGGGTGGGAGCCGGCTGTCGGGGGCTGTTTGGGGCAGGGTGGGGGCTAGCTATGGGGGGCTTCCCGGGGCAGGGTCAGGGCCTGCTGTGGGGGACTCGGGCAGGGTGGGGGCTGCCTGGGCTGTGGTCAGGGCAGTTTCTACTGGAACAGGAAAGGCTGACGGTGACAGTTCACGGTCACCCGAGGCTTCCCTTTGCCATTCGCCCCTCCCAGTTGCCCTGGGAGGCAGGAGCAGGAGTGACCTTGGTCCCTCACCCCCCAGGAAACCCGAGGCCAAGACCCACGTCCTCAGACTCGAGCCCCCATCCTGTGCCGGGGACGAGGGGCTCTGGGCACTCAGAGCTCACTCCGGGTCCTGGGCAGGGCTGGGACTCCTCCCTCAGGACAAACCCTGGCACGACCCGGCCTCTCCGAGGGCTTCGTGAAGAGTGCGTGTTGCTACCGGGGCTCCCTGGCCCCGAGCTGAGCTCCTGAGGGGCAGCGTGGCCCAGGGCCTGGCATTTGCTCCACGGGACCAGCCCAGCCTTGGAGAAGGTGGGACGCAGGAGTCCCAAGGTGGCCTCGCCGGGAGCTTGCTGGGGCTGAGTCTCACCCCACCCCCAGAGTCAGGGTCCCACAATGCCTCCCGCACCTCAGTCACACCTCAAAAGAGCAGAGACGTCTCCTAAATTGCTTTTTGAAGGAATGTGCTAGCTAGCAGAACTATCAGCTGCCCTTAGAAGCAACGTGCCTCGCAGACGCCACGTCCTCACTGACCCACCAGGTGGCCAGGAGCGGTATTTTTGCCTGAGAAACCAAAATCGCCCCCTCACTCAGACGCAGATCAAGGGGTTTCTGGACAACACTGGCCTGTCCCCCTTCGCCACCTTGGCTTTGCCCCCGGAGCCTTGGAAGGTTAACCCGGCTGCGGCCTTGGAATCGTCTAGACGGCACCCGGAGCCCTCACCCCGTCCAGGGCCTCCTCAAAGCAGGTGAGCCAGTATTTTCGGGCCAGAGCGTCATCGGTGAGGTCCACCGTGTCGGGCACGTAGGAGGGCGGGTCCAGGAGGAGCGGCAGGTCAACCAGTGGCCTCTCCAGCCGGTCCATTTCCAGCAAGTCAAACTGGAAGACAGGCAGTGGCAGGGTGGAAACGTCACCATGGTTCAGAACGACCCAAGCCACACTCAGAAGCTTCCACTCTCTCTCTAAGAAGGGAGATGTACTGCCTTCTTCCGCCACGTCTCTGGGCCACAGACGAGACCCCCACTGGGCCCCCTCAGCTGCCCGGCGGCCTGAGCCGGATACCTTGACTTACCCCCTGGTTTGACACTGGGGTTGCGTCTGCTCCCACCACACGCCTCCTGCCCCCAGCACCTCCCCGCTGCAGCCACACCTCCCCAATCACCGCTGCAGTCACCCTCCCATCACCCCTCCTCCACCATCCCTATAGTAACTCCCTCCCCCATCACCACCTCCCTGCAGTCACCCCTCCCTGTCACCCCTACAGTTTCACCTCCTCCCGTGACCCCTGCAGTCACACTGTTCCCACCTCTGGTCCTCCAGGTGGCCGTGTCTGCACACAGAGGTTTGGGGTTCTGTCCTCACTAAGCACCAGGCAGTGTTCCACTCCGTGCCGGGCAGGGAGTCCCCACGCCCCACATGCACCCTTCTTCCTCCATGGCTGCCGGGCCTCCCAGCACGTTCTGTCCATGAAGGACTATGGCAGGGCCAGGCCATTATGCACCCAGGGCACCCCGGGGCCACCTGCACCCAGCACAGGCGCGCTCACGGGCCCTGCTGGCTTTTTCTACCTTATGCCGGGAGGAAGTGAACTGAACTGAGCCGACGCACACATCAGTACTCGGCTCTCTGCACGCTCACCGCAGCAGCCGCTGCTCTGGGACCAGAGGGGCTATGAGGGGAACTGTGTAGCTGACCGCCTCTTCCCACCCTCCGGTGGCTACCCCACAGGTCACATGCTGGCCCTCTGCCCTTCTCCACTGGGGCACCCCTGCTGGCAACCCCTGGGGCTGGAGAAGCAGCCTCTGGGTGGGCAGGGACCTCCAGAGCAAAGGGGACGCCTTCCAGGTGGGAAGCCCATGCCGGGCAGAAGCTCCACGTGGAAAAAGCCAGTGACTTCCCAAAGCCAGTGCAGAAGGCGGCAGGAGCCCCACCTTAACTACCACGGACCACAGCCGGGATCGCCTGGTGCTGCCTTGCCAGGTCGCAGGCTCCTTCTATCCTGACAAATGGGTTCAAATCTTCGCTTTGACTTTTTTGGACAATATAAACTGAAATAAATGACTCCATCTCTCTGCATGTCAGTTTGATCCTCAGTAAGGTGGGGGCCCCTCCTGCCTGGCAGGGCTGTGCCACTGGTGGGGTACCAAATAGGTAACAAGCGCCTCCTGAACGGGGCCCCCGAAGCACTGTGGCCGTCCACGCAGTCACTCCAGGTTACAGTCCAGGACATTTGGCAAATTATGCACACTTGGCAAATCAGAAACTGAGGCTGGAAGACACCAAGCCCCTCTGCCCAACAGCAGGGCAAAAGCTGAGAGCCTGGGGCTCTGCCAGGCCCCCAGAGCCTCGCCCCCACTCCCCTGCCTAGTGCTGGCGGTGGGAAAGGCAGACCAGGGCTGCGGCCAGTGTGGTGCGTCTGTGCGAGGCCGTGGCCTGGTGTGAACTGCAGGACCCACACAAAAGGGAGGCGCCCTCCTGAGAAGCCAAAACTCAACAAGTCGCGGTCTTGAAAATACTGACACTGAACCCCATGTCTACAAATGACAAGCAACTTCCTGCCAACAATGCCAGCGGCCTGTCCTGAGGGGTCCGACTAGCTTTGTGCGTGACCTCAGGTTAACTGCTCACAGCTACAGAAGGAATGAGCCCCGCGGGGGGGCACGGTCGAGGACCCTGACAGCCTGTGACACGGGGCGGTTCCTGCCATGTGGGGCTGTGCTGGGGGCATCCCGTGGCTGACGCAGGTCCTGGCGGGGGACCCTTCCGGAGCAGCTCCAACTCGGCAGACATGGGGTGCGTCTCCTAGCCCGCCAGTGCCACCCAGCTCAGGCCAGGGCAAACCCACTGGGGATCCAAGGAATGAGCCGGGACACCCCGAGGAGAGCAGACTGTAACCGACAGACCATCAGCCACAGTGCGCGGCAGTGTGCGGCAGAGCGCGCAGTCCTAGGCAGGGCCCTGGGTGGCTCCTGCGGTTTCGGGTTTCAACTCCAAAGTGGACGGGCCTTCTGGCGTGGGGAGAGGTCCCCGTCACCCCTGAACTTTAGCAATCTCTCTGCAAACAAGAAGGCCGGATCACACAGACTCCGTAATTCCTGCTGAATGTTTCCAAAATACGAAAGCACCCAATGAGGGAGATGGGAAAGCAAGCCACAGTGTCCTTCTCTTGCCCCTAGTTATACCCCAGGTCCATGGGAGGATTCGCCATGGGCAGAGGCGCCTTTCAGCCGGGACAGCCACAAGAGGCTTCGCTCAGGGACAGGCGAGGTGAGTGCGGCATAGGCTGCTCCCCTGGGGCCCGGGGCGGCCAGAGCCCACTACTCACAGTGCCACTCCGCGCCCGCTGCGCCGGGCCGAGCTCGGGTGATGCACTCATCAGCCCGGAGCTGCCTGCATAGTTCTCTCCCCAGCTGTACTGGTTAGGATCTGGAAAGCAAGAAGCCAGGTCACTTGTGTTAACCTTGCCCTTGATTCAAAAGCAGGAGAGTGGAGGAGGAAAGGGTATAAAATCGCTTATTAACTAAATTGTTAAAATGTTAGACATGCCTGCTGCTGTCACTTTCTGAGGACTCACGCTCCCCACCCCACCTCCACCCTGGGCCGCCCTGGCCTGGAGCACAGGCCCAGGCCACAGCTGAGGCCCCACGCTGCTCAGGGGCGCCAGCACCGCGACTCACTGTCCTGCTCAGCTCCTTTCAGGAACGCTCCGATGGCTCCCAGGTAGCCTTCGTGCCTCAGAAACAGCGCCTGCACTTCCCCCTGCCGTGGCCAAAGCACACGTGCTGCTGTTGGCCCCACACAACACCCGGTGCCTCCGCAAACCAGCTCAACGTGCGCGGGCCTCGCACCGCGCGGCCCAAACCCTCGAAGAGGCGCCATGGCACCCACGGCATACTTGCCAGTGGAATCGCGCCTGGCACCAGAGGGCGGGCTGCTGTTTGAAGAAAGCTAAGGGTGAGATAGCTTCTCCCATGCAGCGAGTCCCTGGCCCACAAGTCTCTGCGTCAGGCATGTGGGTGGGCGTGCCTCTGCGGGGGCAGGGGCACCCTGACCCCAGCGCAGATCAGCAGGCCTGCCTGGAGCTCTCTAGAATGCTCATCACTGGTGATGTACTCAAACTCAGGTGGCCACGGTGCCACAAAATGTAGGCTGCCCAGAATCAGTCAGAAGGGAGGGGTGCTGGGCTTCTTGGCCCCCACCCTCCAGGCCTCCCTGGGGGTGCTGCGGTGTCTAACCAGCATGACTGATTGGGAAGATCCTGGGGGGTCTGCGTTAGAGGCTGGGGAGGGCGGCGCATCCGTTACCTTGGAGAAGAAGTTGATGCTATAGGTGATGGTGCGCATGGTCACGGGGTGGCCCCGGATAAAGAAGCCTCCAAAGTACACGCGGTCCAGGCTGTGCAGCCGTGCGTGGAGGCAGGCCAGCTGCCCAATGTCGTTGCTGATCATGTGCAGCAGGCTCTTCGCCATGTCTTCTTTGGAGAACTCTGAGGAAGGGAAGGAAAAGGCACTCATCTCCAAGTACAGCAAGTGCACGACATGAGAGCGAGCAGGAGGGGAGGGGGAGAGAGAGCTGAGTGGGAGGGGAGGGGGAGAGAGAGCTGAGTGGGAGGGGAGGGGGAGAGAGAGCTGAGTGGGGGAACTGGAGCCCAAGTGCGGGAGGCTGCGTGTGATGTGTGAATCATTCCTGGACGGATTAAGCTTTGTTTTGAAGGAGGAAAAAACCCAATCAGGAAACTATTTTTTCTTCCAAAACCAAGACCGTGGCGTTTATCTGCCGACGTTCTGAGCAGTGGGCCTGAGCTGCAGCGACTCGGCAGGAAGAGGTTACAGGGCTGACACCCAAGACCCCGACTCTCCAGGGAGCAGTTGTGGGAAAGCAATGGTGGGGGAAGCTCCTGTCCGTGAGACCCCAAGTGTCCCCACCATCCTGCTCTCTGGCGGCAGAGGCCGGGGTGAGCACCTTGGTCGGCGGTGGCCGACTTCCCGAAGCTGCTGGCGATGAGGTTCCCGCTCAGCCCGAGAGTCTGGTGGGCGCCGCCGTAGACGTCCCGCACCAGCATGTCCACATTGCTGTGCTGGCCCCTCGAGGCCAGGTGCAGGAGCTCGTCAAACTTCTGCAGGACACGGCGAGGGGGCGGGTGAGGCGCCAGGAGCTGCTGGAATCCCCACGACCCCAGAAACCAAGCCCATGGCAGGAGGCACGCGCGGGCAGGGGGTAAATGGGCCCTCATCGCGTGGGACCAAAGGCAGGAGGCGGCAAGCGGGACCCTCGGGCCACCCAGCCAGGATAGAAGCTCTGGGTTGCTGGGACACCCAACCCTCAGGGCGCAAAGAGTGAAGCCGCAGAGGCCAGAGACCCACTGACGCGAGTCAGGAGGGAGGCCCGGAAGCAGCTTTTGCACCGCCCAGCTGCAGGCCTTCGGGGGAAGGAAGCAGACATCTCCGCAGACCCCTGGAAGGTCTCTGGCAGCTGCCGCATACCTTCGTTTTGGTGAGCAGAGCGCCAAGCCCCCAGAAGGTGCCGCCTCCAATGGAGCTGCCGCCGACCCACTCGAACCTGTCCTCCGTCTCCACCTGCAACAGAGCCAGGGCAGGTGTGCCCTCAGTGGGCCCTCAGCCACACAGGCTCCCCCGCCCCCCGCCCCATGTGCTGCGCTGGGGTGAACCCCGCCCCCACCCCAACCGCCAGTGGGAGGACTCTCATGGCCAAGCCTGGGGGCGCTGATGCCCCTCCCACAGAGGCTCTGAGCTCACAGCCTCGCCACCCCCCTCCCGCCCACTGGGCCCCATCCATGTGCCCAGCCCTGGCTCCTGCACACAGCGAGGGCTTAACAAACTATGGCTAAACCATCCACTCATTCATTCATGAAGCCGGGTCTTACCTTCACGATGGAGACTCCAGAGCCGATATTGACAAGAAGATAGGGGAAAATGTGGGGGTGGTTGGTCTGGAACCGGAACTCAGGGTCGGAATCCTTCTGGTACACGAAGGCCTCATGGGGGATGTTCTTGAGCACGAAGTTGCACCCCTTAATCAGGCACGTCATCACGTCCTCCTTGTCGACTCTGAAAAGGAAGCGCCAACCCCTTAAAGAGTCTGGGCCACAGACAGGTGCAACCATGCAAGCCTGCCTGGTCCGAAGGGGCAGCCATGCCCCATGCGCAATCTGACACACGAGCGCCAGGGACGCGGCTCTGGGACACCCAGGGACTCGGGGGCAGACACATGTTCCTTTCTCGCCCTTGAGATCCCCACTCACTTCAGCCGCAGCTTCTCTTCGATGAGGTCTTTGAACTTGTAGGCCCCGCCCCCGGTCGCCTGGATGACCTTGGTCTCTGTGTTGACGAGATGGTCTTTGATGAAGTCCAGGCAGGCTTCGATGTAGGTATTCTCAAACTTAATGAAGTGCAGTCGAGCAGTGATCTCTTCTTGAACTGAAATCTCATAGGGCGGCTCATGTTCACGTTCTGTGTCCTGGAAAACAGAGTAGGGGAGGCCGCATGTGTGTGGGACACCGCGCCGGGCTGGGCTGTGCGCACCCTGCCCTAGTGGAGCTGGCTGTTCGCGCCAGCCTTCAACCAGGCGGCGCTCTGAGGCAGAATCCTGGGCAAGAGGGAGGAGCCTAGGACCGTGGCGACCTCAGGGCCACCCAGCAGGAGCGGAAGCCTCTCCCGGGGGAGCACAGGCGGGCGCAGGTTCCTACAAAGGGTCTTGAAGGGACACGGCGGAAGGCAGGGGAGGCTGTCCCTGCTAGAAACTCCCAGGACACTAAAGTCGAGGTCTGCAGCAGCAGAGGGATGACTGCGAGACAAGTGCCAGGTCCAAGACGACAGAGAAGCGGCTGCCCTGCCCCGGGTGGCCACAGTGCAGGCTCACCTTTCCGGAGTGGTCGAAAGACCGCACCTTGGCGACTTTGTGCTGTACCGTTGAATAGTAGGCCAGCTTGGTTAACGACCCGCCTGCAGGGGAGACACAAACCGGGCAGGATTCAGGACCAGGACACAGCGGGGCCTGGGGGTCCATGCCCCACACTCTCTGGGTGTCCTGGAGACTAAAGTCTCTGTAGATGAGGGGTTTGGGGCTACTGGAACTTAAAAACCCTGTGGGCACAAAAGAGAGGACAGGAAAACGAACAATCAAATCTACACTTTTCTTTCTCAAATTCTGCTCCTCCTCAGCTCCCTGGCCAAACTGAGCTCAAGAGGTCCCGCTTCCCCTTGGCACCAAGTCCTGCAGAGGAAAGGGAGAGCTGTCTTGCTTTGGGTAACCTTGGTTATCCTCACTGCTTTAAGAAAATTCAGTTTCAAGTGATCTTGCTAATGACCCAAAGCGATAAGCTGACAAATCCAGGCTGTTTTCGTTTTAAGAAGTACACCCTCGACCGTCCCTGCTTACAAAGGAGGCTCTCCTCACAGCCCAGGGCGGTAACGGGGCCTGAGCAGCTCCCCTACCCTGGAGAGGCAAACGGTGCCGCTGGCTACTCTTGAGAGGCTCCAGGCAGAAAATGCAGCCCCAGCCCCAAAAGTAGCCAGAAGTCAGAGGCCACCAAAGTCCGTTTCCCCACAGGCCAAAGTCTCTCTGATGCTCTCGAGAAGCCCTGTGGCTTCCAGGATGCCGCCTGTGATCAAAGGTTGAATAAATATCAGGAAATGGAAGGGGCTCTATGTACCTGAACCAGATTTCAGGGAAAAGTGAAAAGATTCTTGAAGAAGGCCTTTTCAAGGACAAATTCTTCTAAGTTAAAAAAAAAAACAGACATTGTTGAGGCTAGAGTTGTATTCATAGATTTGAAACAACATGAATGACAAATAGAAAAAGAAACAAAATGTGACTTTGAGTGCATTGCGCGGTGCTACAGTGACTTAACAGAGGGCACTGTGTGTGTTATAGTGACTTAACGGAGGGCACCGTGTGTGTTATAGTAACTTAACGGAGGGGACCGTATGGTGCTATAGTGACTTAACGGAGGGCACTGGATGGTGCTATAGTGACTTAACGGAGGGGACCGTGTGGTGCTATAGTGACTTAACGGAGAGCACTGTGTGTGCTATAGTGACTTAACAGAGGGCACCGTATGGTGCTATAGTGACTTAACAGAGGGGACCGTGTGGTGTTATAGTGACTTAACGGAGGGCACTGGATGGTGCTATAGTGACTTAACACAGTGCATTTCTTACAGGGCCTGACAAAAAGAGGCAAAAATCCCACATCATGAGAGTAATGAGGCTAAAGTTATTTTCAAATTATTGTTTTTTGACAAAATACTATAAGGATGTCTGAGAACAAGCACTCAGGTCAGTAAAAAGATTTGGAAACACCAAGCAAACAGCCAATGCTGTTCATGTAGCAAAACCCACCGTGTCCAGGCCCCACAACAGCCATCCCAGGGCACCTCCTGCCTGGTGGTGAGGGCAGGCTCCCCGACGGCTGGCGTACAGTCTGGTGGACGCGTCACAGGCTCAATCTGATCCCCTAGCCTGTGGCTTTAAGCCTCCTTATCCCCTCCCCTGCCCCCAGTGCTGGCCGGGCCCGGAGAGTCTCACTAACATGCACCATGCCGCCGACTCACCTCAGTAAATAAATCGTTTTCTAAAACGACAGATGATGCAAGAGGATGAAGATCTATTTTAAGAGACTCATCAAAAGTCAGTATAAACAAACTCTCAGGTCACAGAAATCCAGTTTCAGGCCCTGGGTTCTTTGTGTTAAATACATGCCCAAACAGGATGTACTGGGGTTGGGACAGAGGTGGGGGTGGGTTGGTTTCTGCAAGATACGCATCCTCCCTCCCTGAGACCCCTGCACGGAGAGGCCCAGCAAGGCCAGTGTTCCGTCTGCCTACTCCCCACACCCGGGGGGACAAAACGGGACCTGAGGCGCGAGGGGCACGCACAGCAGGGAGATCTGTTAGAGCAGAGGGAACCGCCTGCGGGCGGGGACCCTTCCGGGCTGAGCTCAGGGACCCCTCGGAATCACAGCAAACCGCGCCTGGCAAGGCAGTGACAGGAGTGCCTCCTGGCGGCTCTCCGGGCTGCCCGCGCTCGGCCCTGAGGCCAACAGCTGGTGGGGGAAGGGGGCTTCCCAGAGGTTTGGTCACCTGTGCTCTTCACATCTGAGCCATGGCCTTCTAGTTCTCCCTGTCCCACAGGCCCCATCCCCTCTGCCATTCTCTCTGGTCCTGTGTTTCCTCTTTGGGCACCAATGGAGGGCAGGACAGCCAAGCAGACACCACCGCCCCGTGGCCCCTTCCTGTCTCACCTGCCTCTGAGGAACCCTCCCCACAGCCCGCAGAAACCTAAAATCAGATCGAAGCTGCAGTATGTTTTGAGAAATACAACGTCCCTGCTGCTTTCAAAGAGGTGAATCTGCTCAGCAGACATCAGCGTCCCATCGAGAGGAAAACAGCTTGCCAGAACACAGGGCAGGTGAGCTTTCCTAGATCCAGACACAGGCAAGGGAAGAGGAAATGGGAGAAGCCTGCTTTTAAACAACACTGTTGACAAGCACTTTGGCTTTGAGGGTTCCTGGGTTGAAGACACCCCACCCTGAGCGTGGCCTCCCAGCAGCTCGGTCAGGAGTAACAAACAAAAGGTCTCTCAGTATCAGTCAACAGGTCCTCTTAAGAACCAGAGACACAGGACCCAGACGCAGGGAGAAACTTTGAAGAGGGGAAATAAATACCAGCACTAAACAGACCTCTTAGAGTATCCTTCTACCAAGAAACCCCCTGGGCTCAGCCTGGAGAACAGGCTGGTACTCCAGGGCCCTCTAGGGCTGCGACAGCCCTTCCTGGACAGCCCCAGCTCTGCGGCTTCACTGGCCTCTCGGGGCCACACAGAACATCCACGGTGAGCCCTGTTCTCCTGGCCATTCCCCAAGTGACTTATGCAGGTCAACTGCAATTGCATTTCAGAAACATTTAATCCCGACTTGCTTCCAGTAACAGAATCCCCCAGTGTAAGGGCAGCAGAACCTTGCAGAGCACACGCTCTACCGGGCCTCAAGGTCTCAGAAGGCTGGGAAGCATGGCTGGGGAGCCTCTGGTGAGGCCTGCGGTAGACAATCCCCTAGGCTAGGGCTGCAAGCTCAGCACCTGCAGCCCAATAACCAGTCAGTCCCAAGTCCTATCAGCGGTCCCTAAAGATGCTACTCACACGTTCTCATACCTGGCACCAGGCCACACCCCCTAAGAAGCATTGCCTCCCATAAGCTCACTGAAAGGTGGGAGCCAGGACCTATAGCTACTTCCATTCTCATCGCCCCCCACTTCCCTAGAGGACACCCTTCCCTGGCTGGACATCTCAGAGAGATGATGACACCAACAACCCCGAGGACACCACAGCAGCAAACATGTCAGATGCACCAGGAGCACACAGCTCAGAGGGAATGGCCTGGGTCTCTCTGAGTCCCAGCTTTTCCAGGGAGGTGGGAAGCAGTCAGCGGCAGGCCCATTCATCCCAGTATTTACTGGGCGGCAAAGACAGGTTGGGCATCCTTTTCGGGGGCTGGGGCTACAAGACACACCGCTGCTCTTGTGGGATTCACACACAAGCAGACTCAGCCTACGACCGAGATGAGTGCTAAGAGGGAGAGGTATGTGAAGCCGCAGCGGCTATTCAAGGGGGGTTTCTCCAGGTGAAGCTGCCCCCAGGAAGCCCTCATGCCTGAAACATGGGCAGAGTAGGAGAGCAGGGAGTGGCTGGTTCAAATCCTGGTTCTGCCACTTTCTAGCCCGATGACCCTGGGCAAATTAGTTCACCTTTCTGGGGCTTGGTATCCTCATCTGCGAAAAGGGAGTAATTCGCGTTCCTCCCCTAGAGGTGGCTGGGAGGTGTCCGGGAGTCAGGAGCGTGGGAAAAAGGTCTAGAACAGAGCCTGGCCCGCCGTCATTACTGAGAGCACAGCCATCAGGCAGGAGGGTCTGCAGCGGACCCTGGAGAGGCCAGGGCAGAAGTGCAGGCCGCCTTAAAGGCCACGGAAGGCACGGGTGGCTTTTAAACCAGAGGCACGAGTTCCCAGGTCCCACGTCCACGGCCGCCTGAACTCACGCCCGGCGTCCACTCTCCAGAGAGCGGGGCCTGTGCACGGACTGTCCGGCCCGCGGGCCACAGCTGGCCACGCCGCGGGAACGCGCGGCCTTTTCGGGGCCACTCTGCCAAGGGCTTCCCGCCGAGCTCGTCCTCGTCTCGACCAGAACTAAGGACCCCAAATCTCAGGCCAGCCACCAGCCAAGCGGCGGAGCCGGGGCGCCCAGATGCCGATGTGGCCGAAGACATAAAATTCCGCCGACCCTCCCACCTCGCGGCGGGTAACGCTGGACCCCGGCCCCCAGCCACCCAGGACGGCCGCGCGAACTACCAGGCCCGGCAGGCCCCGCTCTGGTCCCTGCGGCGCCTGCCGGTAGCTGTAGTCCGGCCGTCGCCCCGAGCCCGCGCATCAGCGACCCTGCGGACTACAAGGCCCGTGAGGCTGTGCGCGGGCCCGCGGACTACAAGGCCCGTGAGGCTGTGCGCGAGGCCCGCGCCCCCGCCCTTCGTCCTTCCCGCCGCCCCCGCTCGCCGGCCCACCGCCGGCGCCCCGCCCGCCCCCGCAGCCCGCGCCCGGCGCCCGGCCTGCGGCTACCTATGTCGATGGCGAAGCGCTTGGCGTTCTCCAGGTTGCGGAAGATCTCGTCGGGGGGCAGCGTGATGCTCTTGTCCAGACTGTCCCCGCTGCTCCCGCTGCCGCTCGCTCCACACTCCGCCATTTTGAAAGTGCCCGGCCAGCTCATCAGCCATGGAGATATATGCGCATATATTTGACTGCCAAACGCCCCCTCGCATAGATTATGTTAATGAGGCGCCGGCCCCGCCCCTTCCCTCCCCCACCCCCGGCCTCTGAGGTCTCGGCCGCTACAGGGCGAGCTAGGGCCAGTGCTGGGCAGGGGTCCGAGAGGCCCGGGGCTGCGGGCGGGCGGGCGGTTATCCTCCAGAGATCGCGCATCAGCACAGAACATCTGGACTGATGTTCTTTTACCGCGCTGTCCACAGGCTTAACTCAAGTGCTCTGAGCCCTGCTGAGGGAGGCCGCAGAGGCCGCCCACCTGCTTCTAAGGGGGCACGTGGGTCTGCAGACTGTCAGAGAGCCCTGCCCTTCAGCGAGTGCCTGCTGTAAGCTTGGCCCTGCACGCCAGGGCGAATGTGATGCGCTCTTTGCTAGGGTGACTCAATCCTGGCTTCCCAGGGGCGTGGGACTTTCAATGTTAAAAGTCCCATGCAAACCAGAGGAGTGGGGAACCCTGCCCCACCTGGGAGGAGCCCCAGCCTGGCATGCACCTGCGGGTAGGGAAGATGTGTGCTGTAATGGCGATCCGTGGAAAGTGCTGTGGTCGGGGGAAGCCAGGCAGGCTGCCTGTGGGCAAGACAGGTGCCTGGGAGGCTGCAGGAACAAGCCTTGGAAGCAGCTGGAGCCAGGACAGGGGTATAGGTGGGGCAGGCCAGGGTTCCAGGGTGAGTGGCTGGGAAGCCCTGCTGGCATGAAGAGATGCGTCTTCTCCAGAGGCTCTGGGCGCCTTGGGAAAAAGCCCAGTGTTGGAAGCAGACAGATCAGCCCCTCCCGGGTAACCCGGGGTCATTACTGCATGTCTCTGGCCCTCAGCCTCTGTCTGCACGTGGAGAATGCCACCAGCTGCCTGGCAGGGCTCCTGGGAGCACAGGCCTGTGGGGCGGCACAAACTCCAGGGATAATGCATCTGTGTGCGCAGGGCAAGCCTTCAGGGAGGAGGCATCCTTGCCTGTGTCTTCCAAGGGGGTGGGTGTGTGGCTCTGGAGGGGGAGCCTGCCCCAGGGAGGCCTGGGTGGAAGAGTGGAGCACACCCCAGGCGGCTTAGACCTCTGGCAGCTCAGACCCCTGGCAGCATGGTGTGCCATGGGCCAGGCTGGCAGGAGGTGCCCTCCATGAGGGGCGCCCACCTGTGTGCCCACTGAACATGCGGGAAACATGCAGGTGAATGGGGGCCTTCCCTGTCCTCTGCCCACCATACCCCGGGGCTCGGTAGGGACCACTGGCAGGCACTGGGTTGGTCTGGTGGGGGGACCCTGTCTAGACTGCCTGTGGAGTAGCCAGAAAGGGGCTGAAGGCTGAGCGGAGCGAGAGGGGCTGAGCAGGAAGGAGCAGGCAGGGCAGGCCCACACACGGGGCTACCATTCAGCGGGGGTGGGAATGCGGCCCACTCCGGCCCAATCCTTGCTGGATGGATTTTGCCCCTTGGGAGCTGGTCCCTGGGAGCCACAGGCCTCAGTTCTTGCAGACTCAGCCAACACCCTGTGGCCTGCCTAAAAATACATGCCCTTTCTGAGGCAAGGGATGGCCCCGTGCAGGCTCCTGCCAGGACTGCCAGATCCTGCCTTGGCACGGTGGCCAGCGGGCAGGTGTCCCCGGAGCCCATGCCAGGACTGGCGCTGCAGGCCGTGGGAGTGTGCAGCAGCAACTCGGGGCAAATGTTTTCTCCTGTTTGGCCCAGGGCCAAGCCCCTTTGGCTGTAGCAACAGATCTACTGCGGGCTGTGGCCCTGGGTCGCCTCTCAGTGGACACAGCCTAAGGTCCTGCGCTGTCACCTTGCCCCACCCCTACCTTCCGGAAGCTAGTGAAAGGCCTGGGCGGGGGGAGACCCAGGGCTCCGACCATGTCCACCCCTCCAGCCCACCTCCCCCTGCCCCTGCCCCTCACCTGCTTTCCCTCCATCCCTCCCTCCCCCTGTTCTTCCGGAGCAAGGACCCCACCCTTCTTCCGGGGTCCAGGGGGCCACTGGCAGGGGTCCCTCCCTGCTTAACTGCTACCATGGCCCTGCCCATTCCCCTTCACCCCTGCAGACCCGCTCCATGGCTGCCAAGGACAGGCGTGAGGCACAGCAGACGACACTGTGTTGGGGGCTGAACAATCAGATTTTATTATGGCGGCTTCGGAGCAGTCCCGTGGCTTCCACGTGACTGAGAGTTCAATTTCTGAGTACAAAGTCGTGCCCACACGCATCCACCCACACAGAGGAATCCTTTAAGGATCATAGTGGAGGCACCCACCCTCCCCAGACAGCCCACCGTGAGCCCCAGCCAGACCACCAGGCACACTCAGGAGCCTTTTGGCCATGGCCCTCAGGGTCCTGGACGCCCGTCCGGGGTGATCACTGTTTCCTATGAGGATACAGCTCGAGTTCGGCCTTCACAAAAGGCAAATGTGCCCGCGGCACAGCCCGCCTGCCAGGGGTACGCCCAGCAGCTACGGGCCCTGAAGAAAGTCCTCTACAGGCTGGGGGCAGCAGTGTGCGAGCCCCGGCACTACAAATATCATAGAACCCCGGGCGGCCGGGGACTTCCCAGAAGTCACTTGCTTAAATGCAAACACAGAACAACCCCATGGGGTCAGACACTTGGCAGAAGATGGGCCCTGATTGTCCTAAAACGGCAGGGACTCTGCACACACATTCTCTGAGAATGGGGCTCCTGCGGGCCGGCCAGCTTGGGGCCAGAGCCTTCCGGAGAAGGGCGCGTCCAAGCCCGGGGCGGACGACGGCGGGAAGGCGCTTCCCTACAGGCGAGAGGAGCAGGCTCGCCCTCTGGTCGTCGGGCCGCGCGCCCGCAGGTCCCGCCGGGTCACCAGGGCCGCCAGAGGCCGCAGGCGGGCTGGTGCGCGGCGGCGGCGGCGGCGGTGGCCTTGGCGGAGAGCGCGGGCGGGGGCGCGGCGCCCGGCGCCTTGGGCTCCTTGGCGGGCGCGGCGGGCGCGGCCGGGGGCCGCTGGAAGTGGTACAGCAGCTTCATCTGCGTGTCGCTGGCGGCGTGGAGCGTCAGGAACTGCACGGCCTCCTGCAGGCACCACGAGTAGCCTTCGCTGTAGTCCTGGTGCAGGCTCTTGGGGCCGGCGGCGGCGACGAAGGCTGCGGGGAGACGCGGCGGCGGTGAGCGGGCGGCGGGGCGCGGGGGAGCCGGGGCGCGGTGGGAACTCGGGGCGCGGGGGGCCCGGGCGCGCTCACCTTTGCTGTGCTTCAGGTAGCTGACAGCCATCTCCAGGATGTCGGCCTTCTCCAGCTTGGAGTTGGGCTGGTGCCGCGCGAACTCCTGCTCCAGCAGCAGCTTCAGCTGCTCGATGCTGCTGTTGATGCGGTCGCGGCGCATCTTCTCCACCACCGGCTTCCGCAGCTGCGGGAGGAGGGGGTGTCAGGCTGGCCCGGCACGGCGCAGGGACCCCCGAGGACCGGAGGCCGCGGGGACAGCGCGCCGGGCGAGTCTGGTACTTACTCGGTTTTTCTCTTTGGGGCTGAGCAGCTCCACGGCCACAGTGCTGGGGGCCATGCCTGGCGCGGAACAGGCGACGAGGCGACGCGGGGAGGCCGGGCGAGACGAGGCGAGCGGGCGCGGGCAAGGCCAAGCGCGTCCCGGGCTGGCGCGGACACCGGCCCCGCGCGCCGACGCCCTATATAGGCGCGGGCGGCGGCCTGGCGCCTGGAGTCCGGGCGCCGCGGCCGTTCCCACACTCCGCGGCCAATGGCCGGGCGGGCCGCACAAAGGCGCCGGCCCATTAGCGCACGCTAAATTGCCTGTGAATTGGCGCGGGCACAATGGGCGCTCCCCAAGGAGCAGGTGGGCCGCGCGGCACAATGTCCGGGCTGTGGGAACGCGCTCGCCCTCATTAGCATCCCGGGGCCTGATGCCGGGAGCCCCGCGCCTCAATATGCTGCCTTTTCCCAGGCCGCCAAACGGGAGGGGGGCAGGAAGGAGGGCCCCCTCCCCCGCCCTCCCCTCCGCTCCCCTCCCCTGCCTCTCCCCAGCGGCTTCCCACTGCTGGCTGGCAGAGGCCGTAGGAGCAGATAAGGGAAAAACTGTAGAATGAACAAGTGCCACGGCTTCCTGGGGGATGGGCACCTTCCCTGACTGGGACCTGCTGCCCCTCCAGGGGAGGGGGACAGAGGGGGCGACGCTCTTAGGATCAGTCCTACGTGCCTATATTACAAGCCCCCTGACTGTCACCTGGGACTCCTGACTTCTCCAGACCTAGAAAATGGGCCTTGTGCCTTCCTGGCTGGGCTCCGGGCAGCTCCAGGAAGCTGGGGCCCGTGCTCCACGTGGAGCCCGGCACCCGGCAGCTCTCCCCGCGGAGCCGGGCACCCGGCAGCTCTCCCCGCTTCCTGCACCCTGTCCTCCCAGGAGCACTGTAACCCACAGCAGCACTGGGGCTGCTCCACGAGCTGGCAGGTGTCCCTCAGGGGCCTCTCCCCACCCCTATCTGGCCAGGGATCTGACTACAGTGTCCACGCAGCTCGGGAGGCCTCGGCTCTTGGCATGCTTGCTGTGGCCACTGTTTATGCATGCCACAGCTCCACCTAGTCTCTCTGGCAGCCAGGGCACTTGTAGGGCTTGCTTTCCTCTGGCATTTTGCCAGTGGGTAGGGAGTGGGTGCCAGGTGGCAGACTTGAGGATCAGAGGCCATGCCAGCCCTAGCCCCCCGCCCCCAACCACCGGTCCATGGGATGAGCTAATAACCCCGGTACCTGGCCAACTGAGCTGAGTGCCCGCAGCCACTTTGAGGCAATGAATCCCACCCTGGGTCCTTAGGGGAGGGTCCCTTGGGAGACCCCCACCCCCTAGCCTGCGGTCACAGTTCCTCAAATGCTCTGCAGCAGAGACTAGGAGAGGATTCGGGGCCTGGGCTGGCTCCTAGAGACAGGTTGGGACCCTGCCGGGTCCTAGCGGAAGGGCCTTAGCCCCCAGAGCTGGGGCTGGCATCAGGGCTGGTTAGGCAGAGTTTGAATCCAGGAGTGGGGTTCCCTGGCCAGCTGGCAGGGTCCAATGAGGAGCCTTCCCCGGAGGCTCTCGGCAGTGACCCCCGGCTCTGAGTGACTCGCTTGGTGGGCCTAGCTCCAGGAGGTCCTCAGCACAAGGATGGACGGTCCAGGGGGCAGCCAGGACAGTGCTGGGACAGCAGGGGAAGACAGGACTTCAAGCCAATGCAGGGTGGCTCTCCCACAGGCCAGCCGGACACCATTGTGAAGGGTTAGGCTGGGAGGCTCCCAGGCAGAAACATCAGGTGACTTTGGAGGTGGCAGGAAGGGAGCCCCTATTCACCCTCGTACCCCCGCTGTACTCCCACAACACCTCCCTTGAAGGGGACTCATGCTCCAGGCTGTCAGAGGGAGGCAGTGACACTGGGGGCTGGGACTGCTGGGGGCTCATCTCTGAGCAGGTGGGGTCCCACCACAACACTCTGGCCCTTGATGGATGCAGGAGGGCAACCCGTGTGGGGGTGTCCAGGCCACGCGCTCACGCCATGGCTCCCACAGCTCTGGGCATTGATGGCGGCTGGCACTGGCTAGGGGCTCTGGACTCCCGGCTACACAGGGGATCTGGTTGTGTTCAGTGGAGCTATTTCGCAGCTGAAGTGGGGTTCATGCTGGCGGCAGTCACATTGTGGCATGTCCCTTGCCTGACTATGGGCTCCCTGGGGTTGGACTGGGGGTGGGGAGGGCAGGACGAGGTAGTCACCCGTGTGCCCATGACCTATACGCTGCTGGTCCAGCGGCCACATCAAGGAGGTGCTTAGCCAGGGGCTAGGGGTGCGGGAGCACGGGCAGGTGGCCCCAGCCCAGGCAGGCCCTGGCCAGCACCTCCGCCAGCAGGAAACGGAACCTGAGCCACGTGTGCCCTGACCACCCAGCTGCTGGCAGCGGGGACAGGGCCTGTGCCCAGATATGGGGGTGGCACTGAGGCCAGGCCCTGCTCCCGCAGGCTTTGGAGCGGCAGGTGGCTGGGGCTTGTGTCCTGTCCTGGTCCCTTCCCCTGAGCCAGCTCCTCAGCCCACAGGAGACACGTGCCGCCGGGAGATGTGGTCCAACCTCCCCACCCCCACGGCCCGCCCACCCGCAGTGGGCCAGGATGGCGGCCTGCCGGAGGTGAGGGTGGTGGGTGGGCTGTGTGGGGGCTGCTGCCTCCCGCCTCTTCCTCCCTCCCCCTGGACTGGAGCAGCTTTGATCCAATTTTCAGTTGTGGGAAATATGAAATGAATGGTGTTGAATCCTGGCCGGATGAAAGGCTGGTTCCCTCCCTGAGTTCGGGCCAGATGGCAGCTCTGGCGGCCTCCGAGGCACACGCCTGGCCTTTGTGGGCCGTTTAACACTGTGAATGGGGCCAAAGTGTGGGAAACTCACTAGGCTCCCGGCTCACACCATCCACGGTGGGCTGCGGAGGGGGCTGGAGGAGGGAGGGCTGGAGGCTGCTCCAGGCTGGCAGGCTCTGCTCCACAGAAGCACTGTGAAGTGTTGGGGGGCTGGGATCCTCCACCTTGGCTGCCCCCAGCAGCTCAGCGTGGGATGGGGGTGTTCTTGCCCCAGCCGGGCTTTGAGGAGGGAGGGAGTTTGTCCTGCCTGCACCTCCCTGAGCCCCCAACCCTGGAGGGCTCAGTAAGTCTAAGGGGCTTGATAGTTGGGGTGGGGTTGGCACATCTAGAGTTGGTAATAGTCCTCCTGCCTCCACATACACAGACATTGAGGCAGGGCACTTTGCTGTCTCAATTCACGATGCTGTGCCACCATCACCACTGTCCATCTCCAGAAAATGTCCTTCTCTCCAAGCTGAACCTCTGTCCCCATGAAACATGGACTCTCTATTCTCCTCCACAGCTCAGCAACTGTTGAGGCAGGGGGCCTTCAGGCAAAACCTACAAGTTGGGCATGATTAAGCTGGAATGCACGCGTCTAGAACCATGACCCATTTCTAAATAATCCACACGCCCAGCACCACTCCCTCCAGGGCTGACAGCAAAGCGAAGAGCTCCTCGGAGGGGAGGGGCCCGTGGGGGTGGGGGGCGATGGGAAGCTCCAGGGGCATTTGCTCCCAGCTCCAAAGCAGGACGTGGTGCTGGGAAGGTCAAACGGCGCAGACACTAGAAAACAGCTTGGCAGTTCCCCCAAAAATGAAGCACAGAGCAACCATAGGACCCAGCAGCTCCACTTCTAGGTCCATGCACAAGAGAATGGAAAGCAGGACCTGGGGGAGTTATTTGGGCCCTGTCTTCAGAGCAGTGCGGTTCCCAAACCCAAGAGGCGGCCGCCGCCCCATTGTCTGTGAACAAACAAATGTGGTCCTTCCACATAGTGGACCGTTCTTCAGCCTCAGAAGAGAAGGAGGTTGTGACGCAGGTCACAGCAGGCCTGCACCTTGAGGACACTGTGCTCAGTGACATAAAGCAGTCACAAAAGGGCCCATCCCAGGTGGTGCCATTGTAGGAGGCCCCTAGAGTCGTCAGATTCACAGACAGAAAGTGGAATGGTGGGTGCCAGGGGCTGGGAGGGACTGGGCAGTAAGCGTTCCTGGGGACAGAGGTTCGGCTTGGGAGATGGACATTTTCTGGAGGTGGACAGTGGTGATGGTGGCACATCACGAATGCTTTTCATGGCATGGAACTCTGTGCTGAGAAATGGCTAAGATGGTTGTTTTATGTTATATATATTTTGCCACAACTGGAGAAAACAAAAAGGAGGAGCTTTTCTGGAGAAGAACCACGAACTCCCTCCTGCTGCCCCCTCCCCGCCCAGGCAGTGGCAGCCCCCACAATCCTTCCCAGGCCCTGCCTCCAGCTGAGGAAGTAGGTGTGGTGCCGGGCACCCCCGACCTGGTGTTCCTGTCCCCAAGGGTTTCCAGCTTGGAGTGTGGGGAACAGGCAGGCTGGCGGGGGCCAGGAGCCAGGCTGACCTGGGGAAGGAGGGTCAGGGGTAACCATAGCTCCCAGCTTCTTCCTCTTCCAGCCCCTGAAGCCCTTGCTTGGGGGCCTCTGGGTGGAAACTCTACTCGAAGTCTGCAAAACGCCCTGCTGCCTGGGAAGTCAGTTCAGGGAGATGGCCCCGTTCCAGATTTCAGAGACAGCGGCCTCCCCCACATCCAGGACCCCTGCCTGAACAGTGGCCAGCACTGCCTGCCATTGCCCTGGGCCCATCCATGCATAGGGCTCTGCCCTGGAGCCAGGCCACCCCCCGCATCAGCAGCCAGCCCACCTGCTGCAAGGAGCCACCCAGCTTGTCTCCCCAGCTGTGAACAGATGCAGCCGGACCAGGTGTGGCTCCGAGTCTCCACCCTCGGCCAGGGAGGGCACCTGTTCATGGGAGGTGGAGTGGCTGGGAGAGGTTTGAGATCTCTCCTTGGGGCTCCAGGCGGGAGCTGCAGTGGGGGAGGGAGGAAGAGTCCTCAGGCGCTGAGCATCTGTGAATCACCAGGCAGGTATGGAACATGGAAATCCGACTTCCTACAACAGCCCTCCCTGCAAAGTGCGTGGGCCTGTGCTCACTCTCCAGCTGGGGGGCTGGGGGCAAGAGGGTCACAGAGGTTAAGTGACATGCCCAAGGTCACATGTACTCTGGGTCAGCTAACAGGAGGAGTCAACACTCGAGTATTTATTATGCACTTCATGTGTACTTGCCAGTTTAGACTTGACTACGAAGCCAGGAGGTAGGCACTGTTTATTTTCTGTTTACACTGAGTCTGCAGCGCAGAGAGGTGCTCACACCACACAGCTGGTGAGGGTCTGACGTGAGACGGGGACGTGTGGTGGTGCGCCCCGTCTTCTTCCTGAGGAGCTGAGGGAGGTGGGGTGGTGGGAAGGGAGGGGTGTGCGGAGCTGGGGGAGGGAGCCTGGGGCGCTCACGTGCGGGGAGCCCTCTGGCGGGGAGGGGGCATTGGTGAGGGACGGTGTGGCCTCCCCCCGCTCCCTGCAGCCCTCCACCCTCTGGCGAGGGCAGAGCAGCGCATCGATCCGATCAGTGCTGGGAGCTGGAGCTCCAGATGGTGGGTGGCCTGCACGGACGTGTGGACAAAGGGAGGCTGTAGCATGAAGGCGGCCAGCGAGGCACGCGCGATGCCCTTTGTCACCAGGGAAGGCCGCCAGGAGCGCGGAGTGTGGGAACCGCCGGCTCTCGTCTTTAGGGGTGCTCTGTGGGGGTGGCGCACCACCATGAGGCCAAGAGGAAATCCTCGGCCCTTTCCACGCCCTGGCCCCTCTGCTAGGCCGGTGGTGGCCTCCCTGTGGCCTCAGTTCCTTGCACCCCTCCCCTCCTAAATGAAGAACTGGACCAAAGACCTGGGTCCAGAAATGGGGCTGGTTCCAGCTCCTCCCCACAGCCAGCCCCCCTCAGTGGGCAGCTTCTCTTTCGTTGGTCAGCAGATGCTTGAGCACACATGCTGAGCTGGGACTGAGGCTCCTGCACTGGGGGTAGGGGACACTCTTACCTGTGGGAGATGCCTTGAGGGTGTAGACTGGGCCCGGCATGGACCTGCGGTGAAGCCAGGTGCAACAGCTGAGCTGGAGCCTGTCTGACACCGGTGGCAGAGTCGGGCAGCCGCACGCCCCCCAGCAGAGCCAACACAGTTTTGGGGACATAGATTTGGTTAATTTTTCATGTCTGTGTTTTCTTGAATGAGCATTTATTACTTGTGCAGTTTTTGAAAGGGCTTCCCCACACACAGACACACGCACACACACAGACAACACACACATGCTCACATACATACATACGTGCATCCACATGCATAGGTTCCTATGGGAGGAAGTCATTGCATCTTCAGAAGGGCGAGAAAGAATCCCTGAGGTGGGGACAAAGGGGAAGGTGGGTGACCAAGAGGGGCTTCCAGAGGGAACGGTGACTAAGGAGGGTGTTGGCGAGTTCTGCTTGAGGAGTTCTGGGAAGCACCTTCCAGGCAGAGGGCACTACAGGGACACCAGCTTGGGGCAAGAGAGACCAGGTGAGCAGGACTGACATCTCCAAGTCTGGAAGGATGCTCCTGTGGTTTTTTTTGTTTGTTTGTTTTTGAGACGGAGTCTCGCTCTTGTTGCCCAGGCTGGCGTGCAAAGGCATGATATGGGCTCACTGCAAGCTCCGCCTCTTGGGTTCAAGCAATTCTCCTGCCTCAGCCTCCTGAGTAGCTGGGATTACAGGCACACGCCACCATGCCTGGCTAATTTTTGTACTTTTAGTAGAGACAGGGTTTCATCGTGTTGGCCAGGCTGGTCTTGAACTCCTGACCTCAGGTGATCCACCCGCCTCAGCCTCCCAAAGTGCTGGGATTACAGGCGTGAGCCACCGTGCCCAGCCCAGGAGGCTCCTGTGTATACACCTGTGTGAGTGCACCTGTGCGTGTGTGTGTGTGTGCCTGTATGCATGTACTTATGTGTGTGCACTTGAGTACGTGTGTGTGCCTGTGTCTGTACGAGTGTGTGTGTGTGCCTGTGTCCCAGTGTGTGTGTGCGCTCATGTGTCTGTGTACCAGTGTGTGCGCTTGTGTACGTGTGTGCCCATGTGTCTGTGTGTACCAGTGTGTGTGTGTGTGCATGTGTGCCCATGTGTGTCTATGCATGCATCTGCGTGCATGTGCCCAGGAATGCTCACGCCTGCTCAGATGTCCTCAGCTGGGCCACCCGTCCCCACCCTGCCCCGCTGCCCTAACTCCCAGAGTACCCGCATTGGCCGAGCACTGCTCTGTGCCACGTGAGCCCTGGGCCCTGGGGTGACTGTGGGGAAAAACCCTGACAGGAGTGCCTCTGCCCTGCCCTGCCCAGTAGGAACGGTGCTCAACCAGGCCCCTGGCGGCCCTCCGAGGCAGGTAAGTGCGTCCCTATCTGCAGGTGAGGGACAGAGGTGCTGAGGGGCAAAATAACTTGCCAAGGTCTCACGGTCATGCCCCCCACCACCATGCCTGGGGGCAGGCCTTGGCAAGGGGCATGCTGCCAGTCAGTTGGCAGCAGAGCCAAGAAGGGACAGAGCTCAGGGTGTGGCCCTCAGTGCTTAGGACCAGCTGCTCCTCCCCTTGACGCTGGCTTCCCACAGGAGGTGCCGCTGTGTGCTGCTCACACCCAGAAGAGGGGGTCAGGGCATGCAGAGTCCAGTCGGGAAGCCGAGGCCCGAGGAAAGGTGGGCAGGGGCCAGAGCCTTCTCCTGGGGTGGAGGTCAGGCTGCAGACACTGCTAGCCCTGTCCCACCACAGCCCGGCTTCTCAGTTGGGTCTCCACCGGCTGTGACACTCCCACGTGATGCCAACAGGTGTTATGAGGCAGACTCTGTAACCCGCTTGGGATGCTCAAGCCCCAGGGTAGAATTCAGGCCCAAGGGGTGATTGGGGAAGGGGGGTCTGACGTCCTTGGGAGCTGCTGGGCCTGTCTCTGCACGCCTGACGTGGAGTGACCTCGGTCAGAGGGTGGGCTGAGAACTCTCTCATCGTCCAGGGTGGAGGCTGGATAGGCCTCCCTGTTCACACTGTGCTAAAGTAAATAGCAGTTCCTGAGCCCTCCTGTGTGCAGAGTCCCCTCTGTGTGCAGAGCCCCTCCTGTGTGCAGAGTCCCCTCTGTGTGCAGAGTCCCTCCTGTGTGCAGAGTCCCTCCTGTGTACAGAGTCCCTCCTGTGTGCAGAGTCCCCTCAGTGTGCAGAGTCCCCTCTGTGTGCAGAGCCCCTCCTGTGTGCAGAGTCCCTAGAGCCCCTCCTGTGTGCAGAGTCCCCTCAGTGTGCAGAGTCCCTCCTGTGTGCAGAGCCCCTCCTGTGTGCAGAGTCCCTAGAGCCCCTCCTGTGTGCAGAGTCCCTAGAGTCCCTCCTGTGTGCAGAGTCCCCTCTGTGTGCAGAGCCCCTCCTGTGTGCAGAGCTGCTCCTGTGTGCAGAGTCCCCTCCGTGTGCAGAGCCCCTCCTGTGTGCAGAGCCCCTCCTGTGTGCAGTCCCCTTTGTGTGCAGAACCCCTCCTGTGTGCAGAGCCGCTCCTGTGTGCAGAGCCCCTCCTGTGTGCAGAGCCCCCACTGTGTAGAGAGCATGCCTGTGTGTGGATACCTCTTACGTGCAGAGCCCTTCCTGTGTGCAGATCATCCTCTGTGTGCTGAGCCCCCCAGTATGTGGAGCCTCCCCTGGGCTTGAAGTACTCCGATTTGCTGAGGTCAGGACATCAGACCCCCCTCCCCAATCACCCCTTGGGCCTGAATTCTACCTGGGGGCCTGAGCATCCCAAGTGGGTTAGAGAGTCTGCCTTGAGTAACACCTTTTGGCAGCACCCAGGGGTGTCACAGCCAGTGAGATACCCAGCTGAGAAGCCGGGCTGCAGTGGGACAGGGCTCGCAGCCTCTACAGCCTGACCTCCAAATGAGCATCCCCTGTGTGCACAGCCCAGAAGGGCTTCGCATCTGCACGGCAACTCTGTGATTTTGGATTATGATGATCAAGTCCATTGTACAGATGAGGAAACTGAGGCTTCACAAGGTGAGGGGACTGGCCTGCCCAGGTGTGCTTCTGGGGCCCTCACGGGGGTCAGCCTCTCAGCTCCTACTCTGCAGCAACTCCCCAGGCTGGGAACACAGACACCTGCTCTTCCCGTGACTGTGGAGACAGAAGGCCCATCTCCTGCGGCATTTCAGTGTTGCGCTGAGGTGCAGAGCTGGGGTGCAGAGTCCATCCGGTGGAGGGATGGAGCCTTACCTTAGTCAGATGAGAAATGGTACCTCCACCGCCCAGCTCAGCCCACCTATAGTGCTCTCACGCAAGGCCTTAGGCCTGCCTTCCCTGTTCAGACCCCACGGGTCCCCGTGTGGCCAGGTTGGTTGCGATCGGGAGATGGGTAGAGGGCCCTGCCCCCTGACTTGGTGCCCCTGGCCAGGTGCAGTGTGCAGTGCAGGCTTGAACCTGCAGGGGTCCCCCAGGAGCGTGTTTCCTTCCCAGAGGCCCCGGGGCAGGCACTGAGTGGCTTGGTGAAAGCAGAAGGTCCAGGCCAAGGCTGGGCTCTGCCCTTGTCTTTTTCACTTAGAGACTGTTGGACACACCCCACTCCTCTCTGAGCCTCAGCTTACGGGTCTGTAAAATGGGCTTTCCCTGCCAAGCTCATCTTGGTCTTGGGAGGCCTGGCTCCAGGTGGCTGGAAGTGAGACAAACCCTGAGGATGGCGGGGAAAGAGCTGGGGCACTGCAGAGTAGCGCCCACCCCCTCCATACCCAGTTAGCCCCAGCCCAGGAGACTCTGTGCTGGGGCTGGCCACCTGCTGTCTGATCCTCACCTGGAATACGGCTTGTGGGCCCAAACAGGTGTCCCAGTCCCTGCACTGCACACTGCACCTGGCCAGGGGCACCAAGTCAGGGGGCAGGGCCCTCTACCCATCTCCCGATCGCAACCAACCTGGCCACACGGGGACCCGTAGGGTCTGAACAGGGAAGGCAGGCCTAAGGCCTTGCGTGAGAGCACTATAGGTGGGCTGAGCTGGGCGGTGGAAGTACCATTTCTCATCTGACTAAGGTAAGGCTCCATCCCTCCACCAGGACCTGTGGCTGGGCTCCCCGCCGCAGCCCTGACCCAAGAACCTCAGGGGGAAGGGCCCTTGCTGGAGAATTGGGGGTGCACCAGGCCCACCGAGCTGATGCCCTTTGGTGCCCTGGCTTGGGCCTGGGTTCTCCAGGGCTGCTGGGGTGAGGCTGGCACCCGAGAGGCCACTGGGGCCCCTGCTGAGACAGTAGCCCACACCCCTGCGCAGGGCACGCCAGCTGCTCCTAGGGCACCTGGGCATCTGTGGAGATGGGGTGGGGGTTCCTGAAGCCGAGGGGGCTCCTGTAGCCCTGAGGGCACCCCCCACAGACTGCAGCCTTCCCAAGTCCCAGGCCAGGCTTGAGGCCCCAGCTTTGTGCACCATTCCAGGCCCCACCTTCACCAAGGGACTGGAGTCCACACCCCAGAGGGCATGGGCGCAACCTCAGGCTCCCCCTGCCCAGCTTTCCGGGCCTCAGTTTCCCTAGTGTAAAACCAGGCTGCTATGGGGACCATGGGGACACCTGTGGGGTTGGTTCCCCCGGTGCGCAGGGGTGGGTGGTGGGAAAGCCCGCGGCCCGCAGTCTCACGGGCGCGGGGATTAGGGGCCGTCCGGGCCCACGTGGCCGCACGCCCCGCCCCGCCGGTGTCCCCCCACCCCCCGTGCGCCCCGGGGCAGGGCCGGGTCGCCGTCCCAAGCTGGTTAAAAACCCCGCGGTGTCAGAGAGCAGCTCGTTCCCAACCTCTGAAAGGCAGACAAGCCCTTTATTGCTCTATTATAACGCGGAGCCAGATGGTCTTTTGGGAGTTGCCCCCCCGCGCCCCCCGCCGCCGCCCTCATTCATTCAGACTCAGACCCCGGCACTAATGCCGCGGGGGGGCCCAGGCACGCTTCCCTCGCCGCCCGCCCGCGCAGTGTGGGAACCGCCGGCGAGCGCGAACCCACAGCCGGGCGGAGGGAGGGGCTTGGAAACCCGCGCATCGGAGAGCTGGGGAGGGGTGGGGAGGGCTGCGTCCCAGCTCGCCTGGGCCGGGAGGGCTCTCAAGTTAGGGGCTAAGGGAATGCTCAGGAGGCTCGTCCCCAGCCCCACAATCCCTGGTTCTTAGAGGCTGGGGAGGCGGGAGCAGGGAGGAATCCCAGGGTCCCCAGCTGTGGGACCTCGGGCAGGGCACTTAACCCTACCCGTGCCTCAGTTTCCTCATCTGTTAAATGGGGACAGTGATAGGGCCCCCTCACTAGGTTTCGGGAGGATCAGAAGCGTTAATATTTGTAAAACTTTTAGAAAAGGGGTGAGCGTCTGGGCCTCTCACTGATTTTGTACCACTCCCCACCCCCACCCAAGAGTGTTTTTTACTTTTTTTTTTTTTTTTTTTTTGAGACAGGGTCTCTCTGTGTTGCCCAGGCTGGTCTTGAACTCCAGGGCTCAAGCGATCCTCCTGCCTTGGCCTCCTGAGTAGCTGGGATTACAGGTCGGCCGGTCTCAGCACCAGCTGAAACAAATAAATAGAGAAGAAAGATGTTTCACTACTTGTGAAAAAGATGAAATTCAAGTTTCAGCGTCCATAAATAACATTGTACGGAGACACAGCAGGGCGCCACACCCGATGCTATCCAGGAAGGCCACCTCCTGGCGTGACGCCAGTGGCGTGGTAGGACAGAAGCCTGGCCACGTGGCCTGCAGTGGTTACTGCTGGGCCCTCTTCATAAGCACTGGTCCCACCCGCAGTGAAGGACTACCTGCCCCAGGCAGAGCCTCCCACGATCGATCGCTGTCCTCACCGCCCCCGGGGGGTGCCCCATTCCTCTCACTTCTGGGGCTGATGTGGGAGCCTCAGGAGGGGACTGAGTGAGTGTGCACTTGAGTGTGGCCACACCGTCCTGAGGCTTCGTCATCGTGCCCATTGGACAGGGTGGCAAACTGAGGCCCATGGAAACCCAGGGCCCAGCTGCCAGGTGGAGGCCGAGGCCAGAGAGAACCCTGGGCTAGGGCAGGTGGGCAGCCTCACCCACCCGGGTCAGGCTCCTGCTTTGCTCATGTAACCCTCACGCTGGCCACAGGCACTTCCTCAGGTCCCTGCCGCAGAGCACGCGCACGGGTCTGCTCTTCCACCGCTGGGAAAGACCTACTTTGCACTGAAAAGCGTCCCAGCTTCCCTCCCGGCTAGACTGGCAGCTCCACATGACTCGCTGGGGTCCTGGGCTGACTTTTGGCCTTTTTCCCCAACTGATTATTGAGGGGGTGGCCTAGCTGATCTTTGGGGCTCCACAAACAGACACAGGGTGGGGTCAACGTGTCTTCCACAGGGGGCAGAGTCCAGGGGGAGCAGCAGCCTGGAGCAGTGCTGAGGGCTTTGCGGGATGGCAGCTCGCTTGCTCCTGAAGCAGATTAGGCCCTGTGAGGGGCTGGGGTCTGGGCCATACTGCTGGGAGGCGGGGGGGTGCTGCTTGTTGTCAGTTACCTGGGAAGCCCTGGGTGGGGTCCGGCAGCTCTGGGACTCTGGGTCTGGAAGTCCATTCTCTTGTCCCACTGGCCTGCAGGTGTTTGGCCCTTCCTGTGGCCCTGGCCTTGTTGCACTGGCCCTGTGCCAGCACCCCCCATCTGGTGCCCTAGCTCTGCGAGCACTATCTGGCCAGGGTGTGGGGGACCCTCTGTCTATGAGCCTCTGTCATCCACGTGTAGGGGGACCAGGGAGATCACAGATGTGGGGCTCAAGCCCCAGGCCCCAGTGATCACTTCTCTCTGAGCCTTGGATCCCAGCCCTTCCCTTGATGTGCCGCCCCAACTCTTACAGGGGATGCTGGCCTTTATCAGCACTCTATTTGGGGTGTGGTACCGAGTGGGGCTCCCATCCCCACCACCACCCCCATTACGATGGGCCAGCTGTCTCAGGTAGGGGCTTCCAGCCCAGCGTGGGGACCCTCGGCAGTGACCAGCAGGGAGGACCCATGCCTGGGGCACCCCCACAGCCATGGATGGGGGTCTCCGGGGACCTGCTGCAGCACAGTGGATATGGCACCCCTGTCACAGATGGAGGGAAGGGAGGAAGAGGCCTGGCGAGCTTAGGCAGAGGAGAGGTCAGGCTGCCAGCCCAGCCGGGCAGGAACCACCCTTTTTCATTAAGTGAGCCCCCGGGCCGAGAGTTCTGCTGGTCCCGTGGTGAGGGAGGAGGAACGGGAGGGGGCTCTGGGAGTCTGCGCTTCCTCCTCTAGTTGCCCCCTAGGTCTGGCAGAGACCTTCAGCCTCTTGTCCCCACCCCCAGGACTGAGATGCATCCTGGCTTCAACCAGGGGAGACTCTGGCTTCTGGAGGGCAGCCACCCTCTGGACTTGAAGGTGCCCAGGGCAGGTTCCAGAAGGTCCTGCTTCCCCCCAGTACCCCGGCCCAGCCCCTGGAGCCCCTGGGAATGTGTTCAGCCTCCTGCTCAGTAGCCCTCAGCCCACTGGGCTCCAGCCCCATCAGGCAGCTCCCCCGCCCTGGAGCCACCCTCAGCAGAGTGGCAGCCACCCTCAGCCCTCCCTCGCCTGTGGCTCCTGCGTGAGGTGGGGGAGGGGGAGCCCGGCACTGCTTGCCTGTGTCAGGGCTCGGGGCTGGCACCGAGGCTGTGTGCTGCCCCAGGCACCCGCCTACCTCCCCTGCCTGGAGGGGCATTTGGGCTGGAGCCCGCTCCGGGTGGGTTCCCACATCCACCCCCCTCTGCGGACATTCATCCTGCACAAAAGGCGCGTGCGCGGCAACAAACTCATTCGCCACGGGCTGCCTGGGCTTTGTGTGCTGAGCTCCGGCCTCAGAGGCCATCTGGGGAGCAGTCGTCCCAGCGGGCGGCAGGGCCCCCTCCAGGCTGCCTTTGAGGCCTGGGAAGCAGCCGAGGCTCCCTGAGCAACCGCGCTGGAAACCGCACACATCTGGCCTGTCCAGTGCCTTCCAGTTCCCGCAGCCTCCTGGCTGTCCCCTGCACGCTCTGGCCCTGGCATGGCACTAGGTGCCAGGAGGGGACCAAGGCAGGCGCCTGCCTCCCTGCCCTACCCCTGATGCAGGCTGTGTGCACACGGCCCAGTGGGGAGGGCTGTGGGCACGGGGTTCAAATCTGGGGAGTACCCCTCAGTAGGTGGGCCCTCTGGGGCTCAGCTTCCTCATCTGTGCAATGCAGCTGATAACGCTCCCACCCAAGGCCTGTGCTGAGGACGGAGAGTGGATGAGCGCCAGGCATGTGCAGTGGCCTCGGCACGCAGACCCCTGCCCCAGGCACTGCCCGGCTCTGCTTCTTCTCGCCTTCATTCGGTTTCCTGGGTGGGCGACCCCTGCCCGTGTTCCAGGCTTCCTGGAAACTGGCTGGGGGTCAGGGAAAGGCCAGCTGGCCGCAGGCAGCTCTGCTTAGAGCTGGGCCCACCCCTGCTCGGTGTGGGTGCGGCAGCTGTGGTCCTGCCCCACTCTCAGGACTCTGAGCAGCTTCTGCCTGGCCTGTATGCAGTAGGTGCTGAGTAAGTGAGCACTTGCCTCGAGGCCCTCAGCCCTGAGCACCTCCAAGTGTGATCTCAGCCCTGGATCTGGCTTGGGTCTGCCCAGCTGTGGGCGCAGCCACGTGGCCTGGGGTCGAGGGGGGGTTACTAGCAACCCCCAGCAAGCTCCTCTGCTGAGCACGCCCTTCCCCAGAGGGCTAGAGGCCAGGACAACAGTGAGCCGGGGCTCCAGGACAGCCTGCCTGGCGTGGCGGGCATTTCTGAGTCTGGGCGGTTGGATGCGGTAGGGGGCATGGAGTGGGGTGTCCGAGGGGTCTTTCCACTCAGGAGACCCTTCCTGGCCAAGCGACTTCTGGGGCCACAGCTCAGCAGACAGGGCCTCTGCAGAGGCGTCCCTGCCCCCAAGCATGCTGGGGGCGTCCTTGAGAGGGTGTCCTGCAGACCCAGAGATAATCCGGGCTTTGAGAGGCTGTGAGAGGCTGGCCCGAGGACTTTCCCACAGCCCCACAGAAAGGGCCGGCAGCCAGCTGCTCACCCACAAAAGGCTCCCGGCCATTCATGGCCTCAGGCAGGCGGGGCTGTCGGAGCGGCAGCCACAGCCTACCTGGCCACCCCCAGCAGGACTTTCGTGACAGGGAGGCACCTCCCTTCTGGCCATGGGGGCAGGAGGTCTCCAGGGCATAGGGGTAGTCTTGTGCAGCCACCCAGGCCAGCTGCTACCCCCTCTCTTTTGGCCCGAGACTGGCACCCTTCCTGGGCCTGTCATTTATCATGGGTGCCTGGGTAAAGGATGGCTCAGGAGGACCCTGCAGGCACCCACTACCATGCCTGGCGCCGTGCCTCCACCGTCACACTACCCATTGCTCGCCCCCACACGCTGGCCATGAGTCCCCAGGGCTGGCACCTTCCTTGCTTCCAAGTCTGGCCTGCACGGCTCTCACACCCTTTGCAACCATCTTCTTGCCCACCCAGCAGCCCACCCTGTCAGTGTAGGGGGCAGGAGAGGGACCTGGTGGGGCAGTGAGCTGGGTAAGGCCTCCTCCCTGGACCTCAGTCTCCTTGTCTGAGGTGTGGGACAGCACTGCTGCCTCCCAAGGCTGATGGAAGGACCCCCAAGGGCGGCTGGTTAACAAATACCAGGTTTGGAGAAGCTGGGGTGTGGGGCTGCTGCCTGGAATTAACTGCCCAGAGCACCTCCAAGGATGACCTTTTAATATGAGAGCCAGCCCAGGGGAGGGAAGGGTCGGGGGCTTCCTGGGGGAGGTGGCCGCTGGCCTGGATTATCAGGAAGTGCAGGAGGAGGGTGGGGGCTTCCTGGAGCAGTGGCCCTGGCCCCCCTGTGCAGTAGCTGCGGCTCAGCCCCTTCCCTGGCCTGTCTCCCTGTTGCTTCCACAGCTGGAGCTGCCTCTGCGGCCCCTGTCCTCACCCCTGAGGAGGCCAGGCCCGGGCAGGTGCCTGGGCTGGGGCTGCTCCTGGCCAGGCTGGAAGACTGTCAGATGGAGGACAGGTCAGGTGGTCGGAAAGCTGGGGACAGGGAGGGAGCAGGTTTGACGGAGGGACGTATGGGCAGGCTCCTCCTCCCGGTCAGGTCCCACGTGACCCCCCAGCCACGCCTACCCACATCGCCCTGCTGGAGGCCGGGGGCGGGGGGAGCGGGGAGTGGGGGGTGTGGGGGGTGAGGGGGGTGGGGGTGGGGGTGGCCCGGCCCGGAGCTAGGGGGCGGGGCCGTGCTTCTTCTGGCCCTGGCCTCCAATTGGCTGCCGGGCGTGGGAAAGCGTGCACCACTGCCTGGCGCCCATAAAGACGCCTCCACCACCTGCGCCGCCGCCGCCTCCCGGCCGCCCTCCGCCCCGCGCGCTCGTTGAGGCCGGTGCTCCAGAGTGAAGAGCGTGGCGGTGCGGCGGTAGCGCAGGGCCCTCCTGCGGGGCCAGGCAGGGGCGGGTGGGCGCTCCTTGCCACCTTTCTGCTCTCCCTGCTGTCCGAGAAGTTCGTGCGGTGCCAGCCCAGCTCCCAGCTGGGGACAGAACAGGAAACGTCCCCGGCGAGCCTGGCGGGGGTGGCGGCAGGGGTGTCTGTCGCCTGCGCTGGGCAGGACGCGCGTCCTACCGGCCTCCCACTCCGCGGGCCTCACCAGCCACCTCATTCCCGGAGCCCGGGCCGCCGAGAGCGCCGCGGATGGACCTCAGGGAAGGCCTGGCGCGCCGCCTCCGGGAAGCCTTCCGGCCTTCTCCCTCCACCGAGTACTGGGGAGTCTCAGGCCACGGTGAATGAAGAGCAACGGGCCGGAGAGACCTCGGCCTCTGCCCAGGAGCAGCGCCCAGCAACCCCGCCCACAGGGGACCCGGTGGACGCCCTGGTGGCCACTTTGCCAGGCTCCCCATCTCCCAGCGAACCAGAGAGGATTTCCGTTCCCCTCCTGCTTGGTGCCTAGCGCCAGGGCGGGGCGTGGGCTGAGCAGCCCCTCCCATGGAGGGAGCGGCCAGTCTACATATTGGAGGTGGGGCTCTGGGGAAAGGGTGTTGTTAGGAAGGCGGTTTGAGGCAGCGGGAGGTGGGGATGCGCCCGGCGGGGAGGGGCAGGTGTGTGGGGAGGGCCTGGGGAGCGCCTCCCCAGCCGGGCAGCGCTTCCCCAGCCAGGCCCCGCAGCTGGACCCCGGCTCCGTCCAGCCTGGGAAAGGACTCCACGGTTTATGCTGAAGTGGTGGTGGGGTGGGTGAACGCTGCGCAATGGAAGGGCATGGCCCTGTGCTAATTGCCCCGGGGTGTGGGGCTGTGGAGGCACTGCGGGGGGGATGTGCTGTGTCAGTTGGGCAATGGCGGCCAACTGTGGCGTGCAGGCCTTGGAGCTGCCCCTCCATGGAGCTTTAATAAAGGCACTAGCCCTGCAATTTCTGCCTGAGTTTCTGGCCCACAGCTTGGCCGACTGCAGCCCCTGAGATTGGAGGCTTCTGCTCAAGACGTGGGCAGGGAGCTCGGGGCTCCCTGGGCTGGGGCCCTGCCCCGCTGGCCTCTACCCTGGCCCCTGCTGGAAAGCCCGTCAGGGCTGCTCTGAGCTGGGGACAGCTCCTCCCTGCCCACAGCAATCTGGGGGAGCCCCGGTTTGTCCAGTGCCCCTGTGAGCCCTGCTGTGTACCAGCCACCTGTGGGAGTGTCCGCCAGTCACCTCCCAATAGCTCGGGAGGCAGAGCGACATGACTCCATTTTAGAGATGAGCAAACGGGGCTCCTGCACTCTGGGACCATGACAGAGACACAGGAAGTGAGAGTGGGCTGAGGCCCTGCAGCAGTGGGGGCCGGCCTTGGACCGTGATCCAACCCGACCATGGCTGCCCAACCCCCACGGGCTCACCTGGCCCCTCATCGAACCATGTATTACCCGAATAATTTATTCTAGTGTCTGGGCCCAGCCCCGTGTCCCTCACTGACAACCAGACCATGGAGGGCAGCCCTTGTGTTTTCCCAGGGGGAGGGGAGGGAGGAGGGGGTGGATTCTTAAAGGGCTGCAGTGAGTGTGGCCCCAAATGCACACCCAGGGTTAGGCACGCAGGTGATGGCACAGGGAGCCCAGGTTCTAGGAAGTGGCACCTGCGGCCGGGGAGGCAGGGCCTGGATTTTGCTGCCCCCTGGTGGCTAGCGGCCTGTCCAGGCAAAAGGCTTGGACCTGCAGCCCCTGTGGCTCAGAGGAAGAGACAGAGGAAGAGACAGACAGAGGTCTGAGGTCTCCCATCAGAAGTCTCAGCTCCCAAGGCAAATTCAGAGGTGGAGGGTCCCTTGGCCCTGTCCCAGCTCTGGCAGGGCGGCCCCCCACGTCCTGGCCTGCTGCCAGGGGTCGCGCCCACAGCCCTGCACCGAGCAGGGAAGGCCCAGGCCTGGGTGGGTCTTTCCGCAGGATCCTGGGATGTTGCTTAGGGGAAGCCGAGACCAGACGGGCAGTCACCTGTCTGGGAAAGCACCAGGCCCTGGCCGGGTGCGATGGATCACGCCTGTCATCCCAGCAGTGTGGGAGGCCGAGGCGGGAAGATCACGAGGTCAGGAGATCGAGACCATCCTGGCTAACACGGTGAAACCCCATCTCTACTAAAAATACAAAAAATCAGCCTTGCATGGCGACGGGCGCCTGTAGTCCCAGCTACTCCGGAGGCTGAGGCAGGAGAATGGCGTGAACCCAGGAGGCGGAGCTTGCAGTGAGCCAAGATCGCGCTGTTGCACTCCGGCCTGGGTGACAGAGCCAGACTCAAAAAAAAAAAAACAAAACACAAAAAACAAAAAGGAAAGCACTAGGCCCTGCGGAAGTCCCCATGGTGACATTCACGTCCTGGCCACGTGGGCGGGTGTAGGGGAGGGACCGCAGGGAGGCGGAAGTCCTTGTTTTTTCCTGCAGTCGGCCCAGGCAGGACCTGAGCAGCCTGAAGCCATGAGTCGCTGCCACTGCTCTTTCTGTGCCTGGTGCAGCCCCAGCTCATGGGGTCTGGGCCGCCTCTGATCCCATGCCCCCCACTTCACACTTGGGGTTCTGGCTTCCCCGCTGTGAGCCTGTCTCTCCTCCGTGGGACAGGCCAGCCTGGGCAGCCATCCCTGTACCCACTGCCCAGCATATAGTGGGTGCCTCATAAATGTGGGCTGAACAGAGCCTGCCCCTGGGGCCCCACCCTCACTGCCAGGCATACAGCAGGTGCCTCATAAATGTGGGCTGAACAGATCCTGCCCATGGGCCCCCCGACTTCCAGACATAAAGTAGGTGCTACATAAATGCAGGCCAAACAGAATCTACCCTGGGGGCCTCCACTTCCCTTTGATGGGGGCAGAGACCCTCTGCCGGGCAGCGGCCACCCAGTGCCTGGGACAGGTGCCCCCTTCTCCCACCCTGGCCTATCTTGGGGCATCTGAGGGAGGACAGGGCTGTGCCCCCCACTTCATCCTCGAGGGTCTGGCTTCCCCACCTGTGAGCTTGTCTCTCCTCCGTGGGAGGAGCAGCACCGTCGTTTTCACTTTCCGTGATGACCACTGAGTGAGAGAAGATGACGGCAGCTCCTGCGTTTAAAAAGGAACCATCCGCGTAACTGCCGCAGGCAGGGCCCGTGCTCGGGCAGTGAGGCCTCGGCCCTGAGAAGGCCCGGACCCCACAGGCCTGGCCCTGGCTGAGAGGGAGTTGGAGTCCCCCGCCTGGGGCAGCCCCTCTGCACCTGGGGTGGTGGAGCAGGAGCTTGGCTGCAGGCGGGGCTTTCCTCCCAGCTCTGGGAGCCGCTTCGCTGCAAACGCTGTGACTGCAACCTCCGCCACCCAGGTTCAAGCGATTCTCCCGCCTCAGCCTCCCGAGTAGCTGGGATTACAAGGCACCTGACACCATGCCCAGTTAATTTTTGTATTCTTCCTAGAGACGGGGTTTCACCATGTTACTCAGGATGGTCTCAAACTCCTGATCTCAGATGATCCGCACGCCTCCACCTCCCAAAGTGCTGGGATTACAGGCGTGAGCCACCATGCTCGGCCTAGGTGACTTTTCATGGGGAGATAACACACAGGCATGGTGAGCAGCGTGGCAGAGGACCTGTGTGCAGGGCCCTGTCTCCCGCCGGGGAATCCTTCATCTGGGAAATCTCCGCTGCGGGACAGGGATGCTGTGTCGTCAGGACGCAGCGTCTCTCCAGGGCACCCGGGCCTCCTCTGAGCCTCTTTGCGCTCTTTGGCTGCGTGCTTTCTTTCCTGTGGCAAAAGGTACATGACGTTTTATTGACCATTTCAGCCATTGGCAAGTGTGCAAATCAGTGGCTTTAGTCCATTCGCAATGCAGCTGGACCCCACCCTTTCCTGATTCCCGCAGGCCAGGGCTGAGGGCGGGGAGGGGCCTGTGCAGCAGCCTGAGACCGGCTGTCCAATGGCAGAGCTTCCTTCTGGGAAAGCCATGGGTCCCCTGGGGCCCCATGCTGGAACCCCAGCAATGGTGGTTCACGTGTCTCTCCATCTCACTTCCCGTGCAAAAGCGACACAGGCGGGTACAAACCCAAACAGTGCAGACATGGAGGAGACAGAAGGTGAAAATGGTTTCTGAGCCCCTCCAGCCGCCCTCTGGGGACACCAGCCTGGCGTTCTTCAGACACAAGCACTCCCTGCAGCCAGGAAGAGGAGGAGGCAGCCGGGTCTTGGGCGCAGAGGGACCACCCTGTGAGGACATAGGGAGCAGGTACCATCTGCAGGCCCAGGAGGGAACCAACCCCACCTGCCCCTGCATCTTGGACTTCCAGCCCCCAGAACCATGACACCATTGTGTTTCCATTTCTTGAGCCCCCAAGTCTGTGGCCCTTTGCTTTGTTTTGACACCCCAGCAACATGAGCCCCTTCCCAACCCCTCCCCAGCCCTGGCCCCATCATCCTTGACCTCTCTCTCCCTGCAGGTTAGATCTGCCTGTCCCAGAATTTCACCTGAATCACAAAGCGTGGCGCCTCGGGGCCTGGCTCCCTTCACGTGGCCTGATGTCTGCATATTCATCCGCCGTGCAGTGTGTGTCCACGGTTCATTTTGTGTTGCCACGGAGCATCTCATTGTGTGGCCCTAGCCCAGTGTGTTAATCCGTTCACCTGCTGGTGGGTGTTGCAGTGGTTTCCAGCTCTTGGTTATCACCGAGAAAGTGACTGTGAACTTCCGCACACACGTTTTGCTGAGGACAACTCCTTCCATTTCACTTGGTTATTAGGAGTGGAGTTGCTGGGTCCTAGGGAAGGTGTGTGTTTCTCTCTAAAAGAATTTGCCAAACCGATGTCCAAAGCTGTACCATTTCAGGCTCCTGCCTGAAATCATGCTGTGATTGTCATTTCAGGGTCCACGTCTGACAAGTCCACCGTGGCTGCCCTTCTGGGCCTGTTGCTGCTGACTCACGTTCCCACGGCCACCTTTCCCTGCGTCTGGACGTAGTAGCAATTTCTCGTTGGATGTGGACATTGTGCTGTGACCGCTTTGATCACCTGGCATTTTTGTTGGGTTGTTTTTGGCCTTCCTTTAAAGGACGCTGCGCTGTGTTCTGCGTGGAGTTCAGCTCCTTGCTCTTCACTTTGGTCTTCGTGTGGCTGGTTCTGAAGCCTCTCAGAGCAGGTCCAGCCCAGCCTTTCCTGCAGGAAGAGTCCAGCCCCACTCCCAGGACGGGCCCTGCTGGGTGGCTGCCAACAGCCCAGGATCCTCCAGGACTCTCCCCCTGGCGGTTGGAACTCCTGTCTCCCACCTGTGAGTCCCAGGGGCCGGGGGTCCACAGCCCCCTAGGGTCCCATCCATGCTGAAGAGTCCACCTTCCACATCCATGGCGCCTGACTCCGGAGGCCTCAGAGGCCCTCAGGCAGCCTTCTGGAGCTTTCTGTCTGTGCAGTTCCCTCCCTTCTGGAGCTCTGCCTGCCAGGTCCCTCTGCGGATGTCTCCCTGAGCACTGACCTCCTTCTCCTCAGCCCGCCAGGACTGCTGGACCTGCCTGGATGCCCGCCCCTGCTCGGCCATCCTCAATGGGCCTCCACCCCAGGGCTGGGGTGACCCGGGCTGAAAACAGTTCATCCTGAGTTTCAGTCTCGAGCTTTCGTGGCAGGAGGGAAACTGCTGGCTGTGTTACTCCACGGCGGCTGGAACGGACGGGACCAGCTCCCTTCAGAGGGGCACTTCGGTTGGTTCTAGAATTCTCCTTTGCTATGAAGGCTGCCGGGCACATTCCACACCAGCCACCCTCCACCTCGCATGTGCGTTTATCGATGAAACGCCACAGTGGGACCTCCTGGATCAAATAGTGCAATGATGTAAACGCTTAGTATTGTCCTGGAACCTGCCTCCGAAAAGGCCGTGCGCTCCCGCCTGGGATCCTGCTGCTCCTCCGCCGGCCGCCCCGCACACGCTCCGCTGCCTCTCTGGGCTGGCTCAGCCGTTGCATGTTCCTGCGTGTGCACTGAGACGTCCACCCTGGCACGCTTCTTCCCCTCGGCACGTGGTCCCCACGCTGTGCCTGCCCAGCTCGGAGCCCAGAGGCCCCCGCAGCTCCCCACAACTTCATGGTGCAGTGACCTGAGGCCTCCCCTGGCTCAGTCCCTTTCCCAGGGTCAGGGGTCCATGTATTGAACCAGGACGGGAGGTGCCTTCCCCCTGAGCTCTGTCCCTGCTGAACCTGGAAGGCAGCGCCCGGTGGCGGCTCAGACCCCCAGAGCCTCTTCTGAGGTCCGACACTCCTCTGCTCCCCCCAGGGAGACCCCCTGGCCTGGCCCCCAGCTCTCGGTGCCTCGGTTTCCTCACCTGGAAGGTGGGGATGTTGAAGGTGCCTGGCCTGTGGCTGTGCACTAAGCTAGGGTGACTGTGAGCTTCCAGAGCTCGAATGTCTGGAAGGAAGGGCGCGAGCTGGGTGCGTGTGAGTGTCCTGATCATGGACACAGAGCGTGGGGCCCCTTGGAGGGCTGGAACCCAGGTGGGGGATGCCTGGGTGGTGGGACAGAGTGGGGCTGGAGGAGAGGGTCTGAGGAATGTTCCGGCCACAGACACCCCAAGCCCACGGGAGGTCAGGAGTTGGTCACAAGGAAGGTGAGGTGGGGAACAGAGCTGGGGCCCAGGGTCCTGATTTGGGGTGAGAGGTGACGCCATCCCCGAGTCAGAAAGACGGCCAGGGGAGGGGAGGAGGTGGGGAAAGCAGACAGACGGGGAGGCGGGGGGAGCCCAGGGCCAGGAGTGTCAGGGGCAGGCACTTGAGACAGAGGCACCCTGAGGTTTCCCAGCAGGCAATTGATACCCTGGCCTGCAGCGTGGAGGAACCGGGGCTGGGCTGGAGGCCTGGGGACGCCTGGGGCTGCCCCAATTCCCAGCAGACACCTCACCCTCTGGGAAGCCCCAGCTGCCCCAGATCCCTCCCACAATGCTCTGACCACCCCCAACCCCCAAGTCCTCTCCCTTCTGTCCCCAAGCCCGAGGCCTTGGAGCTGCCCCCGCCCTGGGCCATGAGAGCTGGACACAGAGCCCTCCAAGTTCCACGGGCCTCCTGCACCGCCGCCTGCTCCGCCCTCCTGCCCTCCCCCTCGGCCTCCCCTGTGAGGGCTGCCCACCTAGGTGACCCCGGAGCCGCCTCCTCACGCCTCCATCTGCTCTGCACACCGTCCACTAGCCTGACAGCTGCCCAAAGCCTCCAGAGCACAGAACGGGCCTGGTGTCTGCGCCTCCGTCTCGGGGTGGGCCACGGCCGGTTCTGTGTCCCGTCCCCTCCCCGCTCACCAGCGGTGGACCCCAGCTTCCCTCTGCAGCAGCACTCAACTCACACACTTTCTCAGAGACGCGCAGCCCACCTCGCCCCCGCAGTTTCCTCTTCATCCCTCAGAGCCCCCCATGGCCTGGGCAGTCCATCCTGAGTGTCCGCACCACACGACTGTAGACGTTTGGCTTCTGGACTCAAATCCTTCACCAGATCGTGACCAGGATGGCAATGACCAGGCCTCGGCCTCAGCCCCCTGCCTGGCCTGCACTGGCACAGCATTGGGTCTGGGGAGTCCCCGCGACAGGAGGCGTGGGGCTCGGGGTGCTCACCTGCCTCCCTCTCCCTGCTGGTAATGGTGGGCCCCGGGATGGGGGCAGTGATATCCTGCGGGCAGCCGTGTCAATGCAGATGGCTGGGTGCTGGGTAGGGCCCCGTCTCCCGCCTCCTTGGGCTGCCTCATTTCCTTCCTGATGACCCTGGGGTCCTGCACAGGGCCTGGCGGTGCTGGTGCCGGGAGAGCCCACGCTGAATGGATGAAGGAGTGAGTGCTGTACTTAGCGGGGGGCGCTGAGCGCTGGGTGGGGAGCCCAGGACATTTCCTCCTGCTGCCCGGGAGGTAACACCCTGGACCCCTGGAGTCTGCATTCTGTGAGAGCGGGCAGGCCACAGAGAAGGGAGAAAAGGGACGGAGGGCCGAGGCGGGCGGATACGGGGAGCAGGGAGCGGGGACAGGGCTTACTCAGCAATCAGAGAAGGCCTCAAGGAAGAGGTGACATTTCAGCAAAGACCTGGCACTGTCTGTGCCCTCGGTGGGGCAGATGGGCTCCCTTCAGCCCCCTTGAGGCCTGGCACCTGGGGCCCTATGTCAGGCTTGGGGCCTTGGTGTGGGAGCTGAAGTCGGGGTAGGAGGGGCATGGAGGAAGGGGCAGGAGGGGCTGAGTCTCACTGATGCCTGTGTTAGTCTTGTCTCTTGCCATGCCTCAGTTTCCCTCCTCCCCAGGGTGGGGTGGATGAGACGACTCTGGAGGACGTATCTGAGAGAGTGGGGTTGGAGCCCCGTACCGGCAGGTGTAGGCGCTGTGTCTGCTCTTGGAGGTTGGGCGTTCTTGGGGAGTTGGTGAGGGAACGTGCTGTCCCTGCACCCTGGAGCCCCCATGCCCTCCTGGGGCCCCCGGGAGTGGAGGATGCAAGGGGCCCCCTTCTTCTTCCTTGCAAGACCCACATGGCTCTGCATGTGGGGGACATTCCTGGCAGGGGGCGCTGAGGGCCAGGATGTGAGTGCACCAGGGAAACAGCAGATGGGGCTCCTCTCCCAGGCTCCAGCTGTGGGGTGGGAGTCCATGCTCCTGCGTGTCTCTTGGGGGCTTTTCCTCCACTGGGTGCCACCTGGTCCCCCACCCTGCCTCAGAGTATTGGGGTCTGGGCTCGTCCACCCTGGATGCTGGCCAGGAGTGCACCTGCCTCTGGAGCTCGGGACGCTTGGCCCCACAGGACGGTGTCGCACACCACAGCCGGCCTAACTTCACCCCTGCCTGCTCCCTCTCCAGGGCCGGCCTGCAGGGCTGCACACTTTCTAGTTGGGGTGCAGGTCCCCGGGCTCCTGCCACAGATTCCTGTGGCTGGCCACCCTGCCAACTCTCCTGCAGGTGAGGGTGGGCGCAATCCCCAAGGTCCTTTCCACCAGATGCCACTGAGTCCCCCAGGGGCCAGGGCTGGACCCTGGAGGGGGTCACCTGGCTGAAGTCAGGACCAGGAGGGGCAGGGGGCAGTCGAGGGGCAGGGGGCGGTCCTGGGCCAGGCGTCTGGCAGATGGGCTTGCTGGAGGTGGGGGTTCCTGGTGTGCAGCAGGCGGTGCCAGAGGGGGTGACTGGGACCTGCTCTGGGCAAGCACAGGCGGTGCGTGACAGACCTGGGCTTCCATTGACTGCATCACGTCCAGCAGCAGGAAGGGGCCACGGGGGCACTGGCGTCGTCACGTGGGTCACGAGGTTCCATGTGATGCAGGGAGCGAGGCCGTCACGAGGGACTCACTGGTGCCTGCCTTGGGGCTCCGGGACTGTGGGCTGTCTCCATCCGGAGGTCTCCCTACCACCAGGCTCTGTGGGGCAGGGAAGCCCAGTGGGGTGCAGGGAGCCAGGAAGCTGGGGTGGGGTCAGGGCAGGGTCCACAGGGAGACCGGGCGAGGCTGGCAGCCTTCCCAGTCCGCGCAGCGTCTCTGCAGGGGGAGCAAGAGCTGCCCTTCCACCCCTCCCAGGGGACGGGTAGGGGCACTCTGGGCTTTTCCCACCCCCTCACGCAGGGACACAGGCCTGGTGGGTCTATGACTGAAATTGGCCAGACCGCATTCTGGTGGTTTTATTCGGAAGGGAAGTTTACCCTGTTCAGCAGAAGCTGAGATGGGAACAGGAAACCCACAGGGCCCCTTTATTCGGCAAAAATGTCAGTCAGCGCCCCGGGGAGCAGCCGAGGGTCCCTGAGTGTGTGAGTGAGGTGGGGAAACACAGATGGACTTTGGGGGGCTCCCCCTTCTACAGGAAACCCGGAGTGGACTGGAATGGTGCAGGGGGAGAACTCGCCCCTCCCATCGGGCGCCTCCTTCATACCGGCCCTTCCCCTCGGCTTTGCCTGGACAGCTCCTGCCTCCCGCAGGGCCCACCTGTGTCCCCCAGCGCCGCTCCACCCAGCAGGCCTGAGCCCCTCTCTGCTGCCAGACACCCCCTGCTGCCCACTCTCCTGCTGCTCGGGTTCTGAGGCACAGCTTGTCACACCGAGGCGGATTCTCTTTCTCTTTCTCTTTCTCTTCTGGCCCACAGCCGCAGCAATGGCGCTGAGTTCCTCTGCTGGAGTTCATCCTGCTAGCTGGGTTCCCGAGCTGCCGGTCTGAGCCTGAGGCATGGAGCCTCCTGGAGACTGGGGGCCTCCTCCCTGGAGATCCACCCCCAAAACCGACGTCTTGAGGCTGGTGAGCCCCCGAGCCTCCTCTCCGTCTGCTCGCAGATCCCAGTTCTGACCCCAGGGCCTCCCACAGATCTCTTCCCCATGCCCCTGTCCTGGCCGTTGCTGGCTCCGGCGTCCAGCCCGTCCCCTGCTGCCTGGGGCTCTCGGGTCAACCCAGACCCCCAGCACTGGGCTCACCACAGTGGGGTGAGCAGCAGAGCCACAGCCCTACCCAGCAGACCTCCTCCTGCGTGTGTCCCCCACTCACCACTCCGTCCACGGGCAGCTGGTGAGCCCCCATTTGGCCGGATGTGGGCACTTCTGGGGGCTGGGTGTCTCTGGGCGTCTCTGGGCGGGGCCCTCGAGCAGGTGACCCAACTCCCCGGCAGCCCTGACCTTGGTGACAGGTGATAAGATCAGTGTGCAGCAGGGGGCTGGACCCAGGTGGGTGGGGTGGGGATACTCTCCATGCTCATGTGGCACTCCTGCCTGTCCAGCCACTATCCCCATCAGGGGCCCCCGACTGCCCATCAGCCAGCCCAGGAACGAGGCCACGGCAGAGCCACCCTCCCCGATGTGGCCCTGATCAGCCTGTCACCCACTGTCTGGCTTGTGAGCCTCTGGGGCCCATCCCTGGCTGCCCCTGCTGGCTCTTCAGGGGTCAGCAGGTCCAACCTAGGCCAGCAGGGGGGCCGGCAGGTTGTCTGCCCAGTGGGCTCAATGCTCCCAGGTGTGGGGTGTGGGGTCCCTGGCGAGGGCAGAGTTCCAGTTCCCAGGGCTCCGCGCTGCCAGGCAGCGTCATCAGGGCTGGAGGAGGGGCGGTCCCCACCCTATCCCGGGCTCCAGCGGTCGGCAAGGTTGTTCCATGAGCCTGGCCTGGGGCCCGCTTCTGTCCTCTCTACCAGGCACTGCCGCTCCTCCCCATTGCACAGAGGGAGATTCAGGCTGTGGGGCCAAGCCTGGCAGAGCCCACAGGGCAGCCAGGGCATCTCCCAATGCCTGTCCTGACCCCCTTAGGTGCTGTATCTCACCTTCCTGGGAGCCCCCTGCTACGCCCCAGCTCTGCCGTCCTGCAAGGAGGACGAGTACCCAGTGGGCTCCGAGTGCTGCCCCAAGTGCAGTCCAGGTAGGTGCAGCCCTTTGGCGGGCCAGCTCTGTGGGCCGAGGGCAGACACTCTTGCCCCCTTCTGCCCCAGACACCCCTGTGTTCTCTGCCCCCACAGCCATGGGTGTGATGAAGCCCTGGGGCTAGGTGTGCAGACAGTGAGGGCAGAACCCCCAGGCCAGCAGCTTGGACTCTTCACCCTGGGGGACCCTCACAGTCACACTGCACAGGGGGTGGGTCTGAGAGACGTGGCTGGCCCACCGTGGCCAGAGACATGGGCTCGGGGGCACATACCAGAGCCGGGCCAGGTGTCCCAGGAGGCCCCATGTGCTTCCAGAACTTTCCGATTTTCCCCAGAGCAGCTCTGCTCATGGCTGATGGGGCTGCTGTGTCCCGTGGGGCTCATGGGCCATTTGAGTCCCCTTAGCTGGTGTCTCCCTGCTTGGGCTCTGGGCGCGGGTGGAGTGATGGGTGGGCTCCCGAAGGGGCCTCCCGCAGACTTGCGAAGTTCCCACTCTCTGGGCGGCAGGTTATCGTGTGAAGGAGGCCTGCGGGGAGCTGACGGGCACAGTGTGTGAACCCTGCCCTCCAGGCACCTACATTGCCCACCTCAATGGCCTAAGCAAGTGTCTGCAGTGCCAAATGTGTGACCCAGGTAAGAGGCCAGCACAGCCGGCCCAGCCTCCGCTTGGGCAGCCTGGATGCCCCCGCACCCTGCACCCTCTCTCCATGGCCACAGTGCCCCAGGAAGGCCCCGGCTGCCCCAGGCCAGGTCCCAACCCCATCTCCATGGATGCACCCTGCAGGGGACGCCTTGAGGTCAGCCTCCGGCCCCCGTCCACCTCTGTCTCACCTCTCACTTTGTCACCGCCAGGTGGGCCATCCTGAGCTTGGCGACTGACCCTTATCCCTCGTCCTTGGCTCCTCTGGTGCCCGGGGTGGGTGCCCAGACCTCTCCTGTGCCCACGTCCCTAGCTGCAAAGTGGAATGGGATGGTGCTGGGACTCTCCGGCCGGCACTCGGGCCTGCTGCTTCCCCACAGGGCTTCTTGTCCCTTTCTCCTCCAGATATTGGTTCCCCCTGTGACCTCAGGGGAAGAGGTCACCTGGAGGCTGGTGCCCACCTGAGTCCAGGCAGACAGAAAGGGGAACCAGACCCAGAGGTGGCCTTTGAGTCACTGAGCGCAGAGCCTGTCCATGCGGCCAACGGCTCTGTCCCCTTGGAGCCTCATGCCAGGCTCAGCATGGCCAGTGCTCCCTGCGGCCAGGCAGGACTGCACCTGCGGGACAGGGCTGACGGCACACCTGGGGGCAGGGCCTGAGCCTACAGGGAGGCACAGGGCAGGTGGGCTAGCCATGAACAGAAGAGGAAGCTGGAGTGCTTTGGGGGTTCATGCATGTAGGCTGGGATTTGGGGCTCACACCTCAACCTGCATGCCCAGTTCCATGCCCCTCCCCTCTTGTGAAAGCACCTGTCTACTTGGGCTGAGGATGTGGGGGCACAGGTGGCAGGTGAGGCTGCCCTCAGGAGGGGCCCAGGCCCAGCTTGTACCCCACCTCCACCAGTACCTGAAGAAGTGGGGCTCTCACCCTACCTGCCTCTGCCATTGGAATGGCCTGGTTTGCACAGATGGGAAACCCGTTTGCGGGGTGGGTGTCTGGGTGGGCACGTGGGGCGAGGACCTGCCTGCGGGACCCTGCCCTGGAACTGACAGTGCAAGCTCGGCGTCCTGCCCATCTGGGCAGAAGGCTGGTTTCTCCCATCAACGAAGCCCTCCCAGGACCTTCCTGCAAGCCCTCGTCCCACACGCAGCTCTGCCGTCCCTTGGTGTCCCTCCCGGCCTCAGGTCCTCCATGCTGGGTACCTCTGGGCACCTCGTTTGGCTGAGCCAGGGGTTCAGCCTGGCAGGGCGCCCTGGCAGCAGTCCTTGGCCTGTGGATGCTGTCCTGGCCCGTGGATGGTGTCCCGGCCTCCACGTACCCCTCTCAGCCCCTCCTCTTGGACTCCAGCCATGGGCCTGCGCGCGAGCCGGAACTGCTCCAGGACAGAGAACGCCGTGTGTGGCTGCAGCCCAGGCCACTTCTGCATCGTCCAGGACGGGGACCACTGCGCCGCGTGCCGCGCTTACGCCACCTCCAGCCCGGGCCAGAGGGTGCAGAAGGGAGGTAAGCGGTGGGTGGCGGACACCCCTCCCATTTCCACCCTGGTCCCCAGTGCCCCGCTGTCTGGAGCCCCAGGTTTCCTCGACGGCATGGCCTGCCCAGGGGCCCTGGTGAGACAGAACCTTGGCCAGCCCCAGGCCCACCCACTTCAGCCCTGTCCTGGAAGCAGCCCAGTGGGGAACAGGTGATGGAGGCAGGGGAAGGGGCAAGGAAGGGCCACCCCAGGTTGCTCCACCTCGGGGTTCTGGGACTTCCCAGTCCCCAGGCCTCGCTCTCGGGCCCCTGGTCTGGAGCCTGGGTTTATGGGAGTGACCATGGTTAATGCCACTGTTCAAGCTAAGTCTAGGAGGAGTAAGTGTCCAGCCCTGGCCTGCATCTGGCCGGGCAGCCCCCGCAGCACTGCAGGATGTGGACACAGAGGGACTCCCGGACTCATGAGATCCCAGCTACTCAAGGCCGGGACAGCCAGAGCCACCACCCCAGGCCCCACCTCCAAGACTCTGGACAGGGAGCCTGCCCCTCCCCGCTGGTCCTCCCATCACCCGTAGAGCACCCAGGTCTAGAAGCTCACAGACAAGCAGTCCCTAGCCGCCAGCCCCCTCCTGGCCTGGTGCCCTCAGCCCCCTCTGTCCGTCCCTCTCTTCTCAGGCACCGAGAGTCAGGACACCCTGTGTCAGAACTGCCCCCCGGGGACCTTCTCTCCCAATGGGACCCTGGAGGAATGTCAGCACCAGACCAAGTAAGTGAACCCGGGGGAGGCCCAGCTCTGTGCCCTGGGGAGGGGGCTCCACGTTGCTTCCCTGGGAGATGACCGTCTTCTCCAGCAGAAAGGCTTGAAGGTCCCACCCTGAGCGGCACCCTGGTCACATGCCTGCGTCCAGGAGAGCTGCAGGGCTGAAGCCTGTGTGCCCCAGATAACCCCTTCCATGGGCCCAGACAAAGCCTCATCAGATCTGAGCTTCCTGGAGGCTCAGGATGGGCCTTCCCAGAAGCAGGCCCAGAGGGAGGCTGCCTCCAGATCCCCTGTCCCCTGGGGCTGTGGGTGTCCCTGAATGTCAGGGCCATGGGAGGGCCCCTGGGCTTCAGGGGTTGGGGAAAGTGAACACTCTGCTCTTTGTCCACCTTCGGGAGGACACCTTCAAATGCTGACCCTGGGCCCCTAACTGACCTGAGACTTCAGAGCTTCTTGGGAGGAGCTGGGGTCCCCCAGCGGAGCCTGGGATGGAGCAGGGATGGCTGCCCCAGGGAGGGGGCGGTGGGGCCTTCCATCCTGCTCTGCCCTCCTCGTCCTCTGGCCCCAGCTCAGTCCTGTCCATCTCCAGCTCTAACCATTTTTGTCCCGACACTGGCTCTCCCTCTACCTTCTGTCCTTGTCTGCCACTGGTCTCCCGTGCTCTGGGGTCTCTGCACTGCTGGCTGCCTCCCGCTTCTCTCCCCTCTCCCTCTGCCGTCCTGTCTCCTTTGCCCAGTCTCTCCTTGTTTCTCTTCTCCTCCTTCCTTCTCTCCACCTCCCCATAGCCGAGCTTGGAAAAGTCAGACAGACCTCTGAGGTCTCATCCTGGAGCTGCCACCAGCCCAGCCTCCCTGGGACCTGTCTTCACTGCCTGGGGCCCTGGGAGCCAGGGAGGCTCCCTGAGGCTGAGTGAACACTGGGCGCTGCACCTGCCTCTCCCACGTCCTCGGCCCCACTCCCGCAGGTGCAGCTGGCTGGTGACGAAGGCCGGAGCTGGGACCAGCAGCTCCCACTGGGTATGGTGGTTTCTCTCAGGGAGCCTCGTCATCGTCATTGTTTGCTCCACAGTTGGCCTAATCATATGTGTGAAAAGAAGAAAGCCAAGGGGTGAGCACACGGCGGCCCCATCAGGGCTCATGTCCCCAGCCGTCACCTCTTGGAGCTCTGTCACCCCAAGCCTGGGAGGTGGCCCCAGAGCTTTTCCAGGATCCGCGGCTCCTCCCAGGGCAGCCACTGCAGGCTGGGGCAGGTGGGCTTTCTGCTGTGGCCAGAGCCCAGGTGTCAGCTGGCCTCCCTGGGGGAAGGGAAGGTGGGACCCCTGACCGTGGAGCCCTCAGCCACCCCTGCCCACGCACTCTATGACCCTGTGCTCCTGCCTGCCCCCTGTGGGATGTGGGGAGCAGGACAGGCCCTGCTCAGCTGGGAGAAGCTCTGGGCTGAGGGTCAACAGCCGCCCTGCTGGGGACAAGGCTTTGTCCTCATTGAGGAGAGTAAGGCCATTCATTCATTCATTCATTCATCCACCTATCCGCCCTGGTCTGGGCACCTGTGCTGTGCCTGGCCTCCTGTGCCTGGCCTCCTGGGCACTGACCCCGCTGTGTGGACCCGGCTGTGGCCCTGGGAGCCCTGTGCACAGCCCCCGGGGACGCAGCTTCTAAGCATTGAGGTCTGAAGGGAAAGTCAGCCCCATCCTCCAGCCAGGCGGCAGCAAAGCCACCTGATCCTCACCCGGGGCCTCCAATGCGGGGAGGTCTCGGGGCCTCAGGCTCTAGGGTAGGCCGGGCAGCAGCTTAGTCTCACCCAACTGGGCACCTGCTGGTATGGTGGGCAGGGCCTCTCCACTGTGAAGCGCTTGTTCCCCTCCCATAGATGACGGTTGAATTAGGGTTAGTTATGCACTTGGGGGCCTCAGCTGGGGAGGTGGGCCGGGCGCCCCCAGTCCTATCACCCATGCTGGGCCTCCTGGGGACAGGCTGGGCTAGCAGTCCCAACACAGTTGGCCTCCTCTGCTCTCAGAGAGGGTCAGTCCCTTGGGGACGGTCTCCCAGGGAGAAGCAGGAGTTGTGCCTCCGCCACCGCTGTGAGACCATTGCCATGAGCCTGTGTCCCCTGATCAGACACTGCCCCTCCCTGACCTGTGTGTCTGTGTATTGCAGGTGATGTAGTCAAGGTGATCGTCTCCGTCCAGGTATTGATCCTCCTCCCCCTCTCCCTCCCCCCTCCACCTTCCCACCTCCCCTCTCCCCGCTGGGGCTGGTGTTTCTGGTGTACATGGTGGGGGCTCCCAGTTCTCTGAGGGTCCTGAGTCTTTCAAGTACAGCCACGGTAGCTCAGGAAAGAACCCACCCCCTCAAACTGAAAGCAGTAAAATGAACCCGAGAACCTGGAGTCCCAGGGGGGCCTGAGCAGGCAGGGTCTCCACGATTCGTGTGCTCACAGCGGAAAAGACAGGAGGCAGAAGGTGAGGCCACAGTCATTGAGGCCCTGCAGGCCCCTCCGGACGTCACCACGGTGGCCGTGGAGGAGACAATACCCTCATTCACGGGGAGGAGCCCAAACCACTGACCCACAGACTCTGCACCCCGACGCCAGAGATACCTGGAGCGACGGCTGCTGAAAGAGGCTGTCCACCTGGCGGAACCACCGGAGCCCGGAGGCTTGGGGGCTCCGCCCTGGGCTGGCTTCCGTCTCCTCCAGTGGAGGGAGAGGTGGGGCCCCTGCTGGGGTAGAGCTGGGGACGCCACGTGCCATTCCCATGGGCCAGTGAGGGCCTGGGGCCTCTGTTCTGCTGTGGCCTGAGCTCCCCAGAGTCCTGAGGAGGAGCGCCAGTTGCCCCTCGCTCACAGACCACACACCCAGCCCTCCTGGGCCAGCCCAGAGGGCCCTTCAGACCCCAGCTGTCTGCGCGTCTGACTCTTGTGGCCTCAGCAGGACAGGCCCCGGGCACTGCCTCACAGCCAAGGCTGGACTGGGTTGGCTGCAGTGTGGTGTTTAGTGGATACCACATCGGAAGTGATTTTCTAAATTGGATTTGAATTCGGCTCCTGTTTTCTATTTGTCATGAAACAGTGTATTTGGGGAGATGCTGTGGGAGGATGTAAATATCTTGTTTCTCCTCAAACTGTCACCTCCCGGTGTTTCTTGCTGAACAAGGAGTTCCAGGATGGCTGCTGGGCTGTTCGGGGGACCCCTGCCCTCCTCCCGTCATGCCTGGGGGTTCACTCCACCCAGAGAGGAGCCCTGGCCGCCCCTTCATATCCCAACAGCTGAGCTCTCAGTGGGCTCTTCTGACCTCTGTGGCTCCGTCCGAGGCTATTGCTGTGGATTCTGATGCTCAAATGGTGTCAGATTTGCCCAGTAAAAACCCCAGATCTACATCTGACCTACACTTCCCAGCTGTGTCCACCGAGAAACCCCAGTATCAGTGACGCCTGCTGTGCCCAGCCCTCTCCACCTGCTCCGGGAACCCGCCAGGCCCAGGTCCCGCTGGCAGGGGCTTCACCAGGCCTCTGAGCCACACATTCATTTAATGGTCGGGATGAGGCCCCTTTCCCCACATCTGAAGTTAGAAGCGGTGAGGGGAATGACCCTGCAGCCATGCCATGAGGATGGAGGCCACATAGCCCCTCCGAGCATGCCCGCTCCACCCCGCCCTACCCCCTCTCCTTTCCTTGTCACCTGCCTCCAGCAGAGCCCCCAGGCTGAGCCACCCACCCCAACTCCTCTCCTGCCACCCCTTGTCCTGTGGAAGCTTTGGCTTAGCGTCCTGGGGTGTGGAGAGGCCCATGCAGGCCAGGTGGAGCCCTGGGCCCCTAGAAAGCAGCACTTCTGGCTGCCCCACCCCGTGTCACCCTCTCCCCAACTGGAGGCGTGGTCTCCAGGGACCACGGGCCTCCCTGTGCATGGACCGGCTCCTGACCACCGTCCAGGGTCATTGCCAGGGTACCTTTTCAGAGGCTGACCCCATAGACCTGGCTGCCCCCCAGTGCTAGATGGGAGCCAAGCACAGCCTGCCCTTCTGCCCACAGTCCCGGGGGCAGGTGGGAGCATGGGGCCATGGAGTGAGCGGGCAGGGGTGGCAGAGGGCTCCCTGGTCAGGGGCCCCAACTTCCCTTCCCCCAGGGAGGCCACCTGACATCTGGGCTCCAGGCACAGCAGGAAGCCCACCTGCCCCAACCTGTAGCTCCTCCTCCTGGGAGGAGCCATGGATCCTGGAAAAGCTCTGGGGCCACCTCCCAGGTTTGGGGGGACAGAGCTCCAAGAGACGACGGCTGGGGACACGAGCCCTCATGGGGCCGCTGTGTGCTCACCCCTTGATTTTCTTCTTTTCATGCATGAGATTAGGCCAAGTGTGGAGAAATCAATGATGTTGACGATGAGGCTCCCTGAGAGAAATCACACCCAGCGGGAGCTGCTGCTCCCAGGTCTGGCCTCGGTCACCAGCCACCTGCTGCATCCGCGGGAGTGGGGCCGAGGACATGGGAGTGGCAGGTGCAGCCCCCGGTACTCACTCAGCCCCAGGGAGTGTCCCTGGCTCCCAGGGCTCTGGGAGGTGAGGGCAGGTCCCGGGGGAGGCTGGGTTAGTGGCAGCTCCGGGATGAGACCTCAGAGGTCTGTCTGACTTGTCCAAGCCCGGCTATGGGGAGGTGGGGGGAAGGAAGGAAGAGGAGAGAAATAAGGAGAGGCTGGGCAAAGAAGACAGGACGGCAGAGGGAGAGGGGAGAGAAGTGGGAGGCAGCCAGCAGCGCAGGGCCCTGAGAGTATTTCAGCGGCACCGCTGTCCTGGGCCGCCCGGTGCCACATCTTTGAAAACAGTTGTTTAATTTAAGCTTGTCCACTCAGTAGCTGTTGAATGTGGGAGGTTATCTTGTTCTATTCAAGTTGCTATAAAAATAAAAACTACCATAGACTGGGTGGCTTAACAAGAACAGAAATTCGGCAGGGCGAGGTGGCTCACGCCTGTAATCCCCACACTTTGGGAGGCCGAAGCGGGCAGATCATTTGAAGTCAGAAGTTTGAGACCAGCCTGGCCAACAGGGTGAAAACCGGCCTCTACTAAAAATACAAAAACTAGGTGGGCATGGTGGCGGGTGCCTGTAATCCCAGCTACTCGGGAGGCTGAGGCAGGAGAATCGCTAGAACCCAGGAGGCAGAGGTTGCAGTGAGCTGAGATCCCACCACTGCATTCCAGCCTGGGCAAGTGAGCGAGACTCCATCTCAAAAAATAAAAGAACAGGAATTTATTTCTCACATTTCTGGAGGCTGGAGGTCCAAGATCAAGGTGCCGGTAGATTCGGGGTCTGGTGAGGGTCTCTTCCTGGTTCCTAGATGGCTCCTCATTGTGTCTTGACACAGTGGTCGGGGTGAGGGAGCCTTCTAGGTCTCTTTTTTAAGGGCACTAACCCATTCCTGGGGCTTCCGCCTTCACCAACCACCTAAACACCTCACCTCCTCCGTGAGGTCTTCTCTGATTGCTGAGTAAGCCCTGTCCCCGCTCCCTGTTCCCTGTGTCCGCCCGCCTTGACCCTCCACCCCTTTTCTCCCTTTTCTGTGGTCTGCCCGCTCTCCTGGAATGCAGACTCCAGCAGTCCAGGGTGTTACCTCCCAGGCAGCAGGAGGAAATGTCCCAGGCTCCCGACGCAGCGCCTAGCGCCCCCGGCTAAGTACAGCACTCACTCCTTCATCCATTCAATCCATTCAGTGTGGGCTGTCCCAGCACCAGCACCGCCAGGCCTTGTGCAGCAAACCAGGGTCATCAGGGAGGGAATGAGGCAGCCCAAGGAGGCGGGAGACGGGGCCCTCTCCAGCCCCCAGCGGTCCCCACCGACCCGGTTGCCCACAGGATATCACCGCCCCCATCCCAGGGCCCACCAGAACCAACAGGGAGAGAGAGGCAGGTGAGCACCCCCCAGCCCCGCGCCTCCTGTCAAGGGGACTCCCCAGACACAATGGTCCCTGGTGGCCCACGGCCTCTCCTCCCTACACCCCCATGACCTGGGCCCAGGGACACAGGGCCCCTCCCCACTCCTGTCACAGCCAGGGCCTGAGCCCAGAGACCCCAGGATCCCACTGGGCGATGCCCTCCCCACGAACTCAGGGCCAGGGGCCAGGCCGCGGATTTATTTATTTATTTATTTATTTATTTATTTATTTATTTATTTTGAGACGGAGTCTCGCTCTGTCACCCAGACTAGAGTGCAGTGGCACCATCTCGGCTCACTGCAACCTCCGCCTCCCGGGTTCAAGCGATTCTCCTGCCTCAGCTGCCTGAGTAGCTGGGATTACAGGCGCCTATAACTGCGCCTGGCTAATTTTTGTATTTTTAGTATAGACGGGGTTTCACCATCTTGGCCAGGCTGGGTTAGAACTCCTGATCTCGTGATCCACCCACCTCAGCCTCCCAAGGTGCTGGGATTACAGGCGTGAGCCACCACACCCGGCTTCAGGCAGGGGATTTAGAGGGCATTCTGGGCACACCTCCCCCCGGGGCAGATGGGGAAACTGAGGCTGAGACTGGTCAGTGTCACGGGCACAAAACACAGACCCTCACCCCCAGGCTGGGCCTCCCCCCATCACTCTGCAACAGCTGAGGAGCCCCAGGCCCCCAAGAGTCCAGCACCGCATCACCCCACTGCCCTCCGTGAGGCCCTCCACACAGCCCCGACCTGGGTCTCCATGGATCCCCACAGGGTCAGCCCCACACCCCAACCTCCCGGCAGGGCCGTCTCCAGGGGACTGTCCAGAAACCCCCAAAGATGCTTCCCTTTTCTGTTGATGGGAGCCCCTGGGCACAGAGGATGGGACAGCGGCTGTGGGTACCCGAGGGCTGGAGCCACACCCTAAGGGATGGAGGGCAGGGTCCGGGGCCCAGTTAAGGGCTCCCCCTCCACTCCTGCGCCTTCAAGGTCGGCCTGCACCTCCCCTGCTCTGTGCCAGTGCAGGCCAGGCAGGGGGCTGAGGCCGAGGCCTGGCCATTGCCCTCCTGGTCACGATCTGGTGAAGGATTTGAGTCCAGAAGCCAAACGTCTACAGTCGTGTGGTGCGGACACTCAGGATGGACTGCCCAGGCCATGGGGGGCTCTGAATGAAGAGGAACCTGCGGGGGCGAGGTGGGCTGCGCGTCTGCAAGAAAGTGCATGAGTTGAGTGCTGCTGCAGAGGGAAGCTGGGGTCCACCGCTGGTGAGCGGGGAGGGGACGGGACACAGAACCGGCCGTGGCCCACCCCGAGACGGAGGCGCAGACACCAGGCCCGTTCTGTGCTCTGGAGGCTTTGGGCAGCTGTCAGGCTAGTGGACGGTGTGCAGAGCAGATGGAGGCGTGAGGAGGCGGCTCCGGGGTCACCTAGGTGGGCAGCCCTCACAGGGGAGGCCGAGGGGGAGGGCAGGAGGGCGGAGCAGGCGGCGGTGCAGGAGGCCCGTGGAACTTGGAGGGCTCTGTGTCCAGCTCTCATGGCCCAGGGCGGGGGCAGCTCCAAGGCCTCGGGCTTGGGGACAGAAGGGAGAGGACTTGGGGGTTGGGGGTGGTCAGAGCATTGTGGGAGGGATCTGGGGCAGCTGGGGCTTCCCAGAGGGTGAGGTGTCTGCTGGGAATTGGGGCAGCCCCAGGCGTCCCCAGGCCTCCAGCCCAGCCCCGGTTCCTCCCCGCTGCAGGCCAGGGTATCAATTGCCTGCTGGGAAACCTCAGGGTGCCTCTGTCTCAAGTGCCTGCCCCTGACACTCCTGGCCCTGGGCTCCCCCCGCCTCCCCGTCCGTCTGCTTTCCCCACCTCCTCCCCTCCCCTGGCCGTCTTTCTGCCTCGGGGATGGCGTCACCTCTCACCCCAAATCAGGACCCTGGGCCCCAGCTCTGTTCCCCACCTCACCTTCCTTGTGACCAACTCCTGACCTCCCATGGGCTTGGGGTGTCTGTGGCCGGAACATTCCTCAGACCCTCTCCTCCAGCCCCACTCTGTCCCACCACCCGGGCATCCCCCACCTGGGTTCCAGCCCTCCAAGGGGCCCCACGCTCTGTGTCCATGATCAGGACACTCACACGCACCCAGCTCGCGCCCTTCCTTCCAGACATTCGAGCTCTGGAAGCTCACAGTCACCCTAGCTTAGTGCACAGCCACAGGCCAGGCACCTTCAACATCCCCACCTTCCAGGTGAGGAAACCGAGGCACCGAGAGCTGGGGGCCAGGCCAGGGGGTCTCCCTGGGGGGAGCAGAGGAGTGTCGGACCTCAGAAGAGGCTCTGGGGGTCTGAGCCGCCACTGGGCGCTGCCTTCCAGGTTCAGCAGGGACAGAGCTCAGGGGGAAGGCACCTCCCGTCTTGGTTCAATACATGGACCCCTGACCCTGGGAAAGGGACTGAGCCAGGGGAGGCCTCAGGTCACTGCACCATGAAGTTGTGGGGAGCTGCGGGGGCCTCTGGGCTCCGAGCTGGGCAGGCACAGCGTGGGGACCACGTGCTGAGGGGAAGAAGCGTGCCAGGGTGGATGTCTCAGTGCACACACAGGAACGTGAAATGGCTGAGCCGGCCCAGAGAGGCAGCGGAGCGTGTGCGGGGTGGCCGGCGGAGAAGCAGCAGGATCCCAGGCGGGAGGGCACGGCCTTCTGAGAGGCAGGTTGCAGGACAATACTCAGTGTTTTGATCCAGGAGGTCCTATTAGGGCGTTTCATTGATAAACGCACATTTGAGGTGGAGGGTGGCCAGTGTAGAATGTGCCTGGCAGCTTTCACAGCAAAGGAGAATTCTAGAACCAACCGAAGTGCCCCTCTGAAGGGAGCTGGTCCCGTCCGTTCCAGCCGCCGTGGAGTAACACAGCCAGCAGTTTCCCTCCTGCCACGAAAGCTCGAGACTGAAACTCAGGATGAACTGTTTTCAGCCCGGGTCACCCCAGCCCTGGGGTGGAGGCCCATTGAGGATGGCCGAGCAGGGGCGGGCATCCAGGCAGGTCCAGCAGTCCTGGCGGGCTGAGGAGAAGGAGGTCAGGGCTCAGGGAGGCATCCGCAGAGGGACCTGGCAGGCAGAGCTCCGGAAAGGAGGGAACTGCACAGACAGAAAGCTCCAGAAGGCTGCCTGAGGGTCTCTGAGGCCTCCGGAGTCGGGCGCCATGCATGTGGAAGGTGGACTTTCAGCATGGGTGGGACCCTAGGGGGCTGTGGACCCCCGGCCCCTGGGACTCACAGGTGGGAGACAGGAGTTCCGACCGCCAGGGGGAGAGTCCTGGAGGATCCTGGGCTGTCGGCAGCCACCCAGCAGGGCCCGTCCTGGGAGTGGGGCTGGACTCTTCCTGCAGGAAAGGCTGGGCTGGACCTGCTCTAAGAGGCTTCAGAACCAGCCACACGAAGACCAAAGTGAAGAGCAAGGAGCTGAACTCCACGCAGAACACAGCGCAGCGTCCTTTAAAGGAAGGCCCAAAACAACCCAACAAAAATGCCAGGTGATCAAAGCCGTCACAGCACAATGTCCACATCCAATGAGAAATTGCTGCTACGTCCAGATGCAGGGAAGAGTAACCATGGGAATGTGGGTCAGTAGCAACAGGCCCAGAAGGGCAGCCACAGTGGAATTGTCAGGCGTGGACCCTGAAATGACAATCACAACGTCCTCTAAAGGAAAATGTAAGCCTGGTGTGAGAAACGGAGGACAAAACAAAGAGCCAGGTCTGAAATGAATAACGTCCTTGTAGGCACACCAGTCCCCCTGGGCGGCTGTCACAGGACGCCGCGGTCTAGCTGGCTTCCCCGACGGAAATGCTGTCTCAGGCCTGGAGGCTGGAAGCTGGCGTGAGGGTGGCAGCAGGTTTCGCTCCCTGGGAGCTCGGCTGTGGTCTGCAGATGGCATCTTTCCGTGTGTCCTCACGCAGTCGCTTCTCTGTGTGTGCACTTCCCTGACGTGTCTCTGTCCAAACTTCCTCGTCTGAGGAGGACTCCAGTCATTCTGGATCAGGGCCCACCCATATGGCCTCATTCAGCCAGTCACCTCTTTACAGTCCAATCTCTTCATCCCATCCCATTCTTAGCGTGAATTCTGGAGGGATCCTGTTCAGCCAATAACAGTAGGATTAGGCCAGGTGTGGTGGCTCACACCTGTAATCCCAGCACTTTGGGAGACTGAGGCAAGAGGATCTGCCCAGGAGTTCCAGACCAGCCTGTGCACAGGCAAAACCTCATCTCTCCAAAAAAGACAAAAATTAGCCAGGCCTGGTGGCGCACACCTGGAGTCCCACTTACTTGGGAGGCTGAGGAGGGAGGATCAGTTGAGCCCGTGAGCCCCGGAGGTCACGGCTGCAGAGAGCCATGATCACACCACTGCACTCCAGCCTGGCCGACAGAGGAGGCCCTGCCTCAAAACAAAAACAAAAACAGGAGGATTAACAACAGATTAGACAGCTCAAAAGGAAACACCAGTGAACTTGAAGATATACTATCAGAATCTACCCCAAATGAAAAACACACAGAAAATGAATAAATGAACGTATTCTCAAAGATCTCCTGGAAAATATCGAGCTGCCTAACAGAAGTGCAGTTAGAGTCTCAGAGAAACAGAAAGAGGCAGGAACAGAAAATCATTTGAAGAAAAAGCAGTGAAAGTTTTCTAAACTACAAGAAAACTGTGATCCCACAAATGCAGAAAGCTCAACAGACCCCAAGAGGGGTAAATAGAGAGGCATGCACTGCACAGCAAATCCTAATCAATGCCCAGGAACCAGGGACACAGAGGGGACCTGGACACCGGGGTCAGGTGAGGCCACCTTTGGGTACAAAGACGCAAAGATAAGGGCCGTGCGGACTTGTCCCCAGGAACAGTTCAGGTCAGAAGGTGAGCAAAACATTTTTACAATGCTGAAAGAACATTTCACCTTTGAACTCCAAACCCAGTGAATCTGTCTGTCAAAAATAGACCACGCTCGGTGGCCTCCGCCTGTGGACCCAGCAACTCGGAGGCCGAGGCAGGAGGATCACTTGAGCCCCAGGATTCAAGGCCAGCTCTGGCAACAGAGCAAGACCTTGTCTATTAAGCTACAAAAATAAATGAACTGGAGGCTGGGCCCAGTCTAGGGGACTGAGGCGGGCGGATAACTTGAAGTCAGGAGTTTGAGATCAGCCTGGCCAACATGGTGAAATCCCATCTCAGCTAAAAATACAAAAATTATCCAGGCATGGTGGCACATGCCTATAGTCCCAGCTACTCTGGAGGCTGAGGCATGAGAATCGCTTGAACCTGGGATGCAGGGGTTGCAGTGAGCCAAGCTCCCACCACTGCACTCCAGCCTGGGTGACAGAGTGAGACCCTATCTCAAATATATATATGAAAGCAAATCAAAGACTGAGGACATACTGACAGCTGAGAGAATTTCTCAGCAGCAGACAGATTTGCATGACAAGAAACATCCAAGGACTTTCTTCAAGCACAAGGAAGTTTTTTCATAGGGAAATTGTTTCTTTTTTTTTTTTTGAGATGGAGTCTCACTCTTTCTCCAAGCTGGAGTGCAGTGGTGCCATCTTGGCTCACTGCAACGTCTGCCTCCTGGGTTCAAGGGATTCTCCTCCGTCAGCCTCCCATGTAGCTGTGATTACAGGTGTGCACCACCATGCCTGGCTAATTTTTGTATTTTTAGTAGAGATGGGGTTTCACCATGTTGGCCAGGCTGGTCTCGAATTCCTGACCTCAGGTGATCCGCCCACCTTGGCCTTCCAGAGTGCTGGGATTACAGGCGTGAGCCACCTTGCCTGGCCTCATGTGGAAATTGAAATCTGCTCAAAGGAATTATGGATGAAAGAAATGGCAAATGTGGGAGGAAATTTTTTTCTCATTTTTAAATATCTTCAAAAATAATAAAATGCTTAACGCAAATATGTTAGTGATGCATTGTGACATTTAAAGCATATACAATTAAAACCTATGACAGTAGTATAAGTTATGAAAGGGAAAGGCAAGTGTGTGCTGGTGAGATTCTTCTGCATTTCCCGCTGCGTGGGAAGGTGCAGGCATGTTTAGTGGTCACACAACCTGAATATAGGCTGTGATAAGTGCAGATGGATGTCACAAACCCTTCAATAACCACTAAATAAGGAAAACAAAGATGTATCACTAAGAAGGCAACCATGGGGATGAAATGAAATACTACAGAAATAATCAAACAGAAGGTAGGACAACGGGAAATCAGAAATATGAAACAGCAAATAATAGAAAGATGGTGTGCCCACATCCAGCTGTATAGGTAATGACTTTGAATATAAATGGCCTAAATAGTCCAATTAAATACAGAAATGGCCATATCAGATACAAAACCAACAGCCAACTAAAGGCTGACTACAAGAAACCCACTTTACATTTTAAGAAATGGGCTGGTTAAGCCAGGTGCGGTGGCTCATGCCTGTAATCCCAGCACTTAGGGAGGCAGAGGTGGGAGGACAGCTTGAGCCCAGGAGTTCAAGACCTGCCTGGGCAATATAGAGAGACCCTCTTCTGCAGAAAAAGGGGAAAAAAAGACACACACACACAAAAGAGAAATGGGCTGGGTAAAAGCAAAAGGATTGCAGCTGGAAATTACAAGACAGAGCTGCAGAGACCAGGGAGTGGTGCAGAAGCTGAGCCCAGGAGATGGCATGCAGAGTCGCCCCATGCCTCAAGTCTGCAGGTGAGACAGGATGTGTCTTTCTAAAGGTCAGGAGCCAGGCAAGGACTCCCATCCTACCACCTGCACTCAACATGGTACTGGAGGTCCTAGCCAGTGCAATAAGACAAGAAAAAGAAATGGAAGGCATAGAGATTGGACACAAAGGGGGAAAAAGACATTGCCTCTTTGCAGAGAATGTGCTCATGTGTATAAAAGTCCTAAGAAATCGACAAAATGCCTGTGAGAACTAGTCACTTTATTATCAAGGTCACAAGATGCAAGGCCAATATTTTAAAAACTAAACATTGGAATTTGAAGTATAAGGGAAACAAGAACATATTTGCATCAAAAAACAGGAAATGCTTAGGGGAAATTTAACAAAATACCCGCAAGGCCAGTGAAAACGTTGTCGAGAGAAGTGAAAGAAGTTCTAATAACTGGAAAGGCATGGCATGTGGATACATCAGAAGACCAAGTATGAGGAAAATACCCATTGTCCCCCAAATGGACCAATGCAATCCCAGTCAACATTCCAGCAGGCTTGGTCGTCGAAATCGAGAAACTGATTCTAAACATGTATATGAAAACAGACAGGACATTTACCAGCCGAAATAATAGTGAAAAGGAAGAGCGAAGTTGGAGTATTTTCATTTCCTGACTTAAAGACTTACTGTAGAGCTTCAGCCATTGAGAGAGAGTGGGGCGGGCATGAGGCGTGCCAATAGGTCAATGAAACAGGAGCGGCCAGAGAGAGACCCATTCACAGATGATGCAAGCATTTCTGACAGAGGTGTCAAGGTAATGCAATGTGAAGAAGGTAGTCTTTTTGGCAAACAATTTCTGGAATACTGGATAAATGACAGGGGACAATGGCCTTAATCTTTACCTACACGACACAAAAAATTAGCTTGAAACGAACGATAGGCTTGAATGTAAAGCTCAAACTATAAGACTTCCTGCGAAAAACATTGGAGAAAATATCTGTGACCTGGACGTGGGCAAAGATTTCTTAGACAGGACGCAGAACACAAGAGCTACGAGAGAAAATGTTTGAAATTGGGACTTATTGACATTAGCAACTCCTGCTCTTGGAAGTATGCTTTCCAGGAAATGAAAAGGCAAACCACGCATTGGGTGACAATTCCAACACTCTGAGAAAATTCTTACAAGTCAATACGAGGACAAACAGCACTATTGTTTTTTAATGGGCAAGATTTGAACTTCACCAAAGCCATGAAAGGGTGGTCAGCATGCACAGTCATTCGGGAAATGACGTTAAACCACTGTGAGATTCCACTCCACACCCGTCACGGTGATGGAGAGGAAAAGTTCTGACCATACCAAGTGTGGGAAGGACATGGGGTAATTAGAGCTCCCACGTGCTGCTGGCAGGAGCCTGAAATGGTACAGCTTTGGACATCGGTTTGGCAAATTCTTTTAGAGAGAAACACACACCTTCCCTAGGACCCAGCAACTCCACTCCTAGTAACCAAGTGAAATGGAAGGAGTTGTCCTCAGCAAAACGTGTGTGCGAAAGTTCACAGTCACTTTCTCGGTGATAACCAAGAGCTGGAAACCACTGCAACACCCACCAGCAGGTGAACGGATTAACACACTGGGCTAGGGCCACACAATGAGATGCTACGTGGCAACACAAAATGAACCGTGGACACACACTGCACGGCGGATGAATATGCAGACATCAGGCCACGTGAAGGGAGCCAGGCCCCGAGGCGCCACGCTTTGTGATTCAGGTGAAATTCTGGGACAGGCAGATCTAACCTGCTGGGAGAGAGAGGTCAAGGATGATGTGGCCAGGGCTGGGGAGGGGTTGGGAAGGGGCTCATGTTGCTGGGGTGTCAAAACAAAGCAAAGGGCCACAGACTTGGGGGCTCAAGAAATGGAAACGCAATGTTGTCATGGTTCTGGGGGCTGGAAGTCCAAGATGCAGGGGCAGGTGGGGTTGGTTCCCTCCTGGGCCTGCAGATGGTACCTGCTCCCTATGTCCTCACAGGGTGGTCCCTCTGCCCCCAGGACACTGGCGCCTCTTCTTCCTATAAGGACACCATTCCTCCTGTGTAGTGCTGGCCATCATTACGTCTCTTCACCTTAATCAGTTCTTTGAGGGCCCCATTTCCAAACATAGTCACACTGGGGTGTAGGGCTTAGACCTGTGAATTGGGGGAAACGTCATTCAGTCCATAGAAGCTCAACAAGGGAACTTTCTTGGAAATGTCTTCATCACAAAAGTGATGGTGGTTATGTGAGGGCAGGCACTTGCCAGACTCAAGGCTCACAGGCTCACAGCGGGTGTACTTTATTGGACGTCATACGGACCCTGAAGCAGGTGATGTTTCCAAGTGGGAATTGGTACCAGGCTGTCCTATGTCTGTCCATCCCTTGGGTCCGTCTGCACGGAACAGACCCGTGGCCCACAACCCCAGTGTGGCTGCAGCCTGATGAATCCAGGAGTCTTGGCCCAGCCCCGAAGCCCCTGGGAGGTCCGGCCCCACCCTGGGAAAAGTCCAGGCTGTGCCCAACTCTCAGAAGATGTTGACACCCATAGGGGCCCTGCCCCTGGCAGACTGCTCGGGCCTCCTTGGGCCGCTCCTTCCCTGATAGTCACAGGCTCTGAGGAGGTCGCATTCCACCTGCTCCACCGCGGGCTCCGGCAAACCCAGGTCTCCCCACCCCAGCCACTCCCGGCCCAGCCCTGCCCTGGGTTCACTTCCTCAAGGTCTGGTGTCCCCTCCCCCGAGCACTGTTTGCTTCTCTGTGTATGTATGTTTGCCCACATGTGTACACTTTTTTAGGCTGTGTTAATCTGTTCAACTGGTCAGGACAAAGTCCCACAGACTGAGTGGCTGAAGCCATGGGCAGCATTTTCCCACAGTCCTGGTGGCGAGAGGTCCCGGAGCCAGCGCAGGCAGGGTTGGTTCCAGGCAGCGTCTCTTCCTGGCTTGCAGAAGGGACCTTCTCATTATGTCCTCACCCGGCCTTCCCCTTGGCCAGGGCAGAGAGAGGGCGCTTGGTGTCTCTCCCTCCCTACAAGTCCACCTCCAAATGCAGCATCACTGGGGCTTAAGTCTCCACACAGAAAATCAGGGGAGACACAATTGGGTCCAGAACTGTCTCGGCTGGAATTCGGGTTCCCGGCGTGGCTCCACCAGGGCAGCAGCCCCAGAGGCAAAGAGGTCTCCTTCTCCGGCTGAGCTCATCCCTGGGGCTGAACTTTGCTGAGAGGATCAGCTCCCAGGCCTGGCCAGCCCTCCAGTGAGCACCAACTACGCTGGCTGCAGGGAGTGCTTGTGTCTGAAGAACTCCAGGCTGGTGTGCCCAGAGGGCGGCTGGAGGGGCTCAGAAACCATTTTCACTTTTCTGTCTCCTCCATGTCTGCACTGTTTGGGTTTGTACCCGCCTGTGTCGCTTTTGCACGGGAAGTGAGATGGAGAGACACGTGAACCACCATTGCTGGGGTTCCAGCATGGGGCCCCAGGGGACCCATGGTTTCCCAGAAGGAAGCTCTGCCATTGGACAGCCGGTCTCAGGCTGCTGCACAGGCCCCTCCCCGCCCTCAGCCCTGGCCTGCGGGAATCAGGAAAGGGTGGGGTCCAGCTGCATTGCGAATGGACTAAAGCCACTGATTTGCACACTTGCCAATGGCTGAAATGGTCAATAAAACGTCATGTACCTTTTGCCACAGGGAAGAAAGCACGCAGCCAAAGAGCGCAAAGAGGCTCAGAGGAGGCCCGGGTGCCCTGGAGAGACGCTGCGTCCTGACGACACAGCATCCCTGTCCCGCAGCGGAGATTTCCCAGATGAAGGATTCCCCGGCGGGAGACAGGGCCCTGCACACAGGTCCTCTGCCATGCTGCTCACCATGCCTGTGTGTTATCTCACCATGAAAAGTCACCTAGGCCAGGCATGGTGGCTCACGCCTGTAATCCCAGCACTTTGGGAGGTGGAGGCGTGCGGATCATCTGAGATCAGGAGTTTGAGACCATCCTGAGTAACATGGTGAAACCCCATCTCTACGAAAAATACAAAAATTAACTGGGCGTGGTGTTGGGCACCTGTAATCCCAGCTACTTGGGAGACTGAGGCAGGAGAATCACTTGAACCTGGGAGGCAGAGGTTGCAGTGAGCTGAGACCGCGCCATTGCACTCCAGACTGGGCGATGAGCAAAACTCCATCTAAAAAAAAAAAAAGTCACCTAAAGGATTAACAGTGTCAAACAGAGACGGAGGCTCTCGGAAGTCACAGCGTTTGCAGCAAGGTGGCTCCCAGAGCTGGGAGGAAAGCCCCGCCTGCAGCCAAGCTCCTGCTCCACCACCCCAGGTGCAGAGGGGCTGCCCCAGGCGGGGGACTCCAACTCCCTCTCAGCCAGGGCCAGGCCTGTGGGGTCCGGGCCTTCTCAGGGCCGAGGCCTCACTGCCCGAGCACGGGCCCTGCCTGCGGCAGTTACGCGGATGGTTCCTTTTTAAACGCAGGAGCTGCCGTCATCTTCTCTCACTCAACGGTCATCATGGAAAGTGAAAACGACGGTGCGGCTCCTCCCACGGAGGAGAGACAAGCTCACAGGTGGGGAAGCCAGACCCTCGAGGGTGAAGTGGGGGGCACAGCCCCGTCCTCCCTCAGATGCCCCGAGATAGGCCAGGGTGGGAGAAAGGGGCACCTGTCCCAGGCACTGGGTGGCCGCTGCCCGGCAGAGGGTCTCTGCCCCCATCAAAGGGAAGTGGAGGCCCCCAGGGTAGGTTCTGTTTGGCCTGCATTTATGAAGCACCTACTTTATGTCTGGAAGTCAGGGGGCCCGGGGCAGGCTCTGTTCAGCCCACATTTATGAGGCACCCACTATATGCTGGGCAGTGAGCACTGGGATGGCTGCCCAGGCTGGCCTGTCCCACGGAGGAGAGACAGGCTCACAGCAGGGAAGCCAGAACCCCGAGTGTGAAGTGGGGGGCATGGGATCAGAGGTGGCCCAGACCCCATGAGCTGGGGCTGCACCAGGCACAGAAAGAGCAGTGACAGCGACTCATGGCTTCGGGCTGCTCAGCTCCTGCCCGTGCCCACTGCAGGAAAAAACAAGGACTTCCGCCTCCCTGCGGTCCCTCCCCCACACCCGCCCACATGGCCAGGACGTGACTGTCACCATGGGGACTTCCGCAGGGCCTGGTGCTTTCCCAGACAGGTGACTGCCAGTCTGGTCTCAGCCTCCCCTAAGCAACATTCCAGGATCCTGCGGAAAGACCCACCCAGGCCTGGGCCTTCCCTAGTCTGTGCACCACTGCGTTTGAGACGCTGGGCTGTGACCCCTGGCGGCAGCTCCACTCTGCTGGAGCTGGGGCTTGTTTTAAATTATGACCTAAAACTCTAAAACCCTCGCCTGTAATCCCAGCACTTTGGGAGGCCGAGGCGGGTGGATCACGAGGTCAGGAGATAGAGACCATCCTGGCTAACACTGCACTCCAGCCTGGGCGACAGAGCCAGACTCCGTCTCAAAACAAACAAACAAACAAACAAAACACTCTAAAACCCTCAAAGGAAAACACAAGCCTCTTGATGTTAGACTTGGTAGTGATTTCTTGATTTCTTGGGTATGACAGGAAAAGGACAGGCAGAAACGTGTAAAATAGATACATGGGGCTTTACAAACAAGAATGAATAGAATGAAAGGCAACACATGGACTGGGAGGAAATGTATCAGATAAGGCATTCCGTCTAGAATTTGTAAAGAACCCTCACACCCCAACAACATCAAAAACAAACCACTGGGTGAAAAAATGGAAAAGGACTAGAATAGAGAAGACACACAAATGGCCACCATGCCCCTGAAACAAGGCTCGGTGCCACCAAGCATTTGGGAAATGGGAAACGCAAATCAGAACAACGGGGAGACCACCTCAGGCCCAGCGGGATGGACGGCTTCTTTTAAAGCCCCCAATACAGAGAATAAGATTTTTTTTTTTTTTTTTTTTTTTTGAGACAGAGTCCTGCTCTGTCGCCCAGGCTGGAGTGCAGTGGCGAGATCTTGGCTCATTGCAACCTCTGCCTCCCGGGTTCAAGGCATTCTCTTGCCTCAGCCTCCCGAGTAGCTGGGACTACAGGCACCTGCCACCATGCCCCGCTAATTTTGTATTTTTAGTAGAGACGGGGTTTCACCATGTTGGCCAGGCTGGTCTTGAACTCCTGACCTCAGGTGATCCACGCACTTTGGCCTCCCAAAGTGCTGAGATTACAGGCATGAGCCACCGTGCCCGGCCTGGAGAGGAATAATTGTTGCTGAGGAAGGGGAGAAATTAGAATTCCCGTGCACTGCTGGCGGGAATGGGACATGGTGCAGATGTTGTGGAAACCATTAGGGCAGTTCCTCTAACAATTAAAACTACAATGACCATGTGATCCAGCCACTCCGCTTCTGGGTATAGATCCCAAAGGACTGAAAACAGGGACTTGAGCACATATTTGCACACCCAGGTTCACAGCCGCAGTGTCCACAAGAGCTCGAATGTAGACGCCACGCAAAAGCCCATCAACAGGTACAAGAATAAGGAAAATGTGGCCGAGAGGTCCAGTGGAAGGTGCTCAGCCTTGGAAAGGAGATCGAACACAGGCTGTGCTATGGATGGATGTTGAGGAATTTATGCCACGTGCCATAAGCCATTTATAGAAGACAAAGGCCATTATGATGCCACTTCTATGAGGAGCCTACAATTGTCAAATTTATAGAGAGGAAGTAGAGCAGTGGGTGCCAGGGGCTGGGGGAGGCAGTTAGTGTTTCATAGGTGAGGGTTCCAGTTTAGGATTGTCAACAAATTCTGGAGATGGATGGTGGTGATGGCTGCAACAATGTGGATGTACCTAATGCCACTGAACTGATCTTAAAATGCTCCGCGTGGTGAATTTTATGTCATGTATATCTTATCACAATTACAAAATAGTTTTGAGGCTGGGCACGGTGGCTCAGCTTGTAATCCCAGCACTTTGGGAGGTCGAGGCAGGTGGATTGCTTGAAGTCAGGACTTCAAGACCAGCTTGGCCAACATGATGAAACCTCATCTCTACTAAAAATACAAAAATTAGCCAGGCGGAACCTGTAGTCCCAGCTACTTGGGAGGCTGAGGTGAGAGGATCACTTGAGCCTCGGTGGCAGAGGTTGCAGTTAGCTGAGATTGCACCACTGCTCTTCAGCCCGGGTGACAGAGCCAGATCCTGCCTCAAAAATAATAATAATAATAATAATAAAAGAAAGAAAGTTGATCAAATCCCATCTTTGGTGTATATAGGGTGGGACTTGGGGAAACACAGCTGCTCTTTCCCAGGGGTCCTCTGCAGCCTGCCCACCTGGTTGAGTCTGTGAGGCTTCTCATAGGGACATCCTGGGCTTTGCTGGAGGGGGATGGGCAGGATGGCAGGGGCCAGGGGCCATTTGGGATGGAGCTGGAGCGCTCCAGCATCCTCTCAGCCACAGTGGGGCTGCGATTCCTGCTGCTCAGAAGCAAGGCGAGCCGGCCAGAGTGGCTGATAACTGAGCGTGCGGTTGGCAAAGGTGGTTACCAGGGTTTGTTTTACAGATGAAGAAACTGAGGCTTAGACAAGGTGGTGACTTACCCACAGTGACCCAGCTGGGCGGTGCCAGAGCCAGCATCTGAATAAGCCCTGGTCTGATGCAGGTCCTGCGATCTCCCCACGCCCTGACAGTGACCTATCTTTGTGCACACACGTGTGTTTGTGTACTGGGCACACCTCCCCTAAGGTTTGCAGGGCCCAGGGCTAGAACAGAGATGTAAACACGAGAAGAGGCAGGAAGGTGTGTGCCATTATCAAAAGAAAAGAGAGGCTGGCCAGGTGTGGTGGCTCATGCCTATAATCCCAGCACTTTAGGAGGCCGTGGTGGGTGGATCACCTGAGGTCAGGAGTTCAACACCAGCCTGGCCAACATGGTGAAACCCCGTCTCTACTAAAAATACAAAAATTAGCCAGGTGTGGTGGTGCGCGCTTGTAGTCCTACTTGGGAGGCTGAGGCAGGAGAATCGCTTGAACCCGGGAGGTGGAGGTTGCAGTGAGCTGATACTGTGCCACTGCACTCCAGCCTAGGCGACAGAGCAAGAATCCGTCTCAAAAAAAAAAAAAAAAAAAAAAAGAAAGAAAAGAAAAGAAAACAGAGGCAACAGAAGCAGAACCTCAGATGTGAGTGTCAGTAGACAGGTATTTTAAAATAACTCATTCATGTGTTACTAAAAACAGGAAATGCCGTCTAACGGGATCTCTGGATGGAGAATTCCACAGCTGATTGGAACCTAAACGAGAGAACCAAATGGACATCCCAGGGCTGCAGGTCAGTGTCATGAGACGGGTGATGGCAGACTGGACCCCGTGGCAGGTGGACCATGGAGGGGAGACAGAGACAGGGCAACAGAAACGGTGCAAACAGCCACTGAAATACCCGTGGGAAAGAAAAGCACAACAGAGAACAGGAGACTTATGTGACTCCGACTCAACAAGACGCATTAGTTAAAAGATCTAATATATGCGTATGGGGCTTCCCAGAATAAGAGGAAGGAAGGAAGGAAAGAATGAGACATCATAAGATAGTGTTAAAAAAAAAAGAATTCCCAGCCGGGCACGCTGGCTCACGCCTGTAATCTCAGCACTTTGGAAGGCCATGGCGGGTGGATCACCTGAAGTCAGGAGTTCAAGACCAGCCTGACCAACATGGTGAAACCTTGTCTCTACTAAAATACAAAAGTTAGCTGGGCATGGGTGGTGGGCACCCGTAATCTCAGCTACTCCAGAGGCTGAGGCAGGAGAATCGCTTGAACCCAAGAGGCAGAGGTTGCAGCGAGCTGAGATCGAGCCGTTGCACTCCAGCCTGGGCAACAAGAGCAAAACTGCATCTCAAAACAAACAAACAAACAAATAAAATAAAAGAATTCCCAAACTGATTAAAGATACCAACCCACAGACTCAAGAAGCCTAGTAGGACTTCTGCTGCTGGCCACGATGCTGCAACTTGTCAATGTAAAATAAACAACAGAGAGACTGGCTCTCCCAAATAAAGTTTACTGGGGGATGGCAGGGGATTGCAATCTGGGATATGCATGCTGAGGGGGACCGTAGGTGTATCTTTCTTTTAGGGGTGGGAAGAGGAAGTCTACACAGATTGTTTTGGAATAAACCTCCCTGGGTACAGGAGCTTATTGCAGGGTTGGTGATTACTCATGGGTAACATGATTGTTGCGGGGGAGATGTCTTCATAGGAGCAGCTGATCTGGAATGTTGTGTGCTGTCGGAGTCCCTGTAACAGTTCTCATCATAGGCACCCGAGCATGAGGGACCTTCCGTTGAGGCCTCCCAGCTCCGTTTTGCTTGGGTCCTGACATAAGTGACTCTGCCTTAGTATTGACAATTTTCACACAGTGGAGCCAGTTTCCCCCATTTGTGCCCCCTCCCCCAGTTCATATGCTGAAACCGAATCCCTAATGTGATGACATTATGAGGTGGGGCTTCGGCATGTGCTTAGGTGGGTAGTGAGGGTGGAGCCCTCGGGAATGGGTTAGTGCTTTTATTTATGTATTTTATTTTATTTTGAGACGAAGTCTCACTCTGTCGCCTAGGCTGGGAGGCAGTGGCATGATCTTGGCTCATTGCAACCTCTGCCTCCCAAGTTCAAGTGATTCTCCTGCCTCAGCCTCCCGGGTAGCTGGGATTACAGGCATGCTCCACCACGTCCAGCTAATTTTTGTATCTTTAGTAGAGATAAGGTTTCACCATGTTAGCCAGGCTGGTCTCGAACTCCTGACTACAGGTGATCCGCCCACCTCGGCCTCCCAAAGTGCTGGGATTACAGACGTGAGCCAAAACACCCGGCCAAAGTTAGTGCCTTTAAAAAGGAGGCCCCCCAGAGCCCCCTCATGCCTTCCACCCTGTGAGGACACAGCATGAAGAAGTGATCTAGGAACCAGGAAGGGGTCCTCGCCAGACCTTGAATATGCCGGCGCTTTGATCTTGGACCTCCAGCCTCCAGAAATGTGAGAAATCAATTTCTGTTCTTTAGAAGCCACCCCATCTATGACTAAGACACCCTCCCACCTTCATGCTACTGAGTGGACAAGCTTACATGAAATGACTGTTTTCACATATGTGGCACCAGGCAGCCCAGGGATGCCGGTGAAATCTCTGGGTAAGTCTCTTTGGCCTCTGGTACTGGCAGCTTCTCCTGTTAAGAGGGCAGTCCTCCACGAGTGTCTCGTGCCCCCCACCTCTCACAGGGTGTGCCAGGAATGCAGGCCCTGAGTACCCTCCCCCATTTCTCAGGGTGGTTTGCCCTGAGAGTCCTCTAGGGACAAAGAGCAGCTTGCTCACTGCTTGCTGCAGAAACAGCTGACTCCCCCAGTGCAGGGCTCCTCAGTGGCCACGCAAACCTACTGACTGTGCAGTGCCCACCCAGGCCTACCCACATGGCACCCGTGGAATTTGGGGGCAAGGGGATAAGACCAAACACACAGGTGAGCACCTGCCTGCCACGCCATGAATGAAAAAGTCCTTTGTCTCTGACCCCGGAGTTTCACGTCTTCTGTCAGCATCCCTGCTGCGGTAACGGGCCAGCTCTTCCTTTGTAAGGAAAGCTAAAACCCAGTCCCAGAGCTGGCACCACCTGGAGGAGGAAGTGCTCTTCCCTGCCCCTCCTTGGCCATGTGACTTGCTCTGGCCAGTGACATGGGAGTGCAAGCGACACATCCCAGCTGTGCATGGCCGCTGGGAGAGTGTGGCATGGTTTCTCCATCTCTCCTCCATGTCCTCCCTTGTCAGGAGAACGGCATGTTCCAGAGAGCCACAGCTTGCTCAGCCTGGACCCCAGAACGAAGGAGGCATCAGAAGCTGAGCCACCCGTGGCCGACAAGAAACCTGAGTGGGAGGGGAAACTTGGTTGCTGTGATCGACCCAGGCTTGCGAGTTGTTTTGGCAACACAGCCTAGCAAGAGCCGACCAATATGTCATTGATGAAAGAAAGTCAACAGGCGTGTAGAAGGAGCTGTCTACTGAGCATGTCTGCACTTTTCTGAATTATGTTGCACTTGAGTAAAAAGTAAGCAAGCCTGTCTATTTACTTTAAATGATGTGTGCCAGATATGTACAGTATGCAGAGTTAAGAAGGTGCCACCCCAAAATAGGCTGCTCTGGCATAGTCACTATTAGGAATTAAAGGCAGTTAAAACAATAACAGGTGCAAAAAGATCATTCTGATCTCTCTTGTGTTTCTTAAAAGCAGAAGATGAAATTCCCAGGTGAAAGATGCTCTCCCTACACTAGAAAGCTCTGATCCTCAAGGATGAGAAGCTGAGACCCAGCAAATGCTGTACAGTCCCTGATAAAATGCCTCTCACCTTTTCAGCCCCCCACATCATCTAGCTGCTTCCTCAAACCTCACTGTTCTCTGTCCAACTCAGCACACGACTGAGTCTGCTTCACTGGGTCTTCACTTCCTTAGGAGGGCTCCTGAGCCACATCCAACTTTAATCAAATACACTGGCATGATGATCTGTCTTATCTTGATTTAACTCTTGGGCCCAGCCAGGACCTCAAAAGGATGGAGGTGGAGTTTTTCAGCCCCTACATATGCAAACACACACATAGCATGTATCTGAGCGGCCACATGGGCTGGCCCTGCTATTTTCTTATGGCTTCTCAGCCTCCCAGCCACCTTCTGCTCTGCATCACTGGAGCTGGGAGGCTGCAAGCTCCTTTCCCACTCTCCTCTGCCCGTTGGCTTCCAGTGAGGCTCCTGCAGCGATGGCGTTGGTGGGAGATGCCAGGCGAGGAATTGATCTCGCATTCTCGTTTCTGGGAACGTCTCTGAAAATGGCTGAATCCCGTCTGGGATCCCAGCTCCCAAGGAGGCGGCAGCTTGCTCACTGCTTGCACAGCCCCAGACGGCAGAGGGGCCCTCTCCTGCACAGCCTGAGACAGTGGAGGGGCCCCCTCCTGCACAGCCCCAGAAGATAGAGGGGCCCCCTCCTGCACAGCCCGAGACAGTAGAGGGGCCCCCTCCTGCACAGCCTGAGACGGTGGGGGGGGGCCCTTCCTGCCCAGCCCCAGATGGTAGAGGGGCCCCCTCCTGCACAACTCCAGAGGGTAGAGGGCCCCTCCTGCACAGCCCGAGACGGTAGAGGGGTAGCCCTGGTCTCTGGGGGCTGCACTCCTGGGCTCTGGAGCTGCCACAGCTCCTCCCTCCTAGTGCTTCCCCTTCCTTGTTTTGCTTTTTGCCCTTTCTGACATAGTGACGACTTCCGTTTCGCAGTCTGGACCTTCACCACCCCAGGGCGAGGGCACAGGCGAAGCAGCAGCACCCCCCCGGGGCCTCTCTTTATTTGGAATACAGTGTGGGGGCTCCCCCTTCCTTCTCCAGCCCGCCCAGGCCCCTGGAGCTGTCCTGGGGCCTGGGGAGTGAGGACCCGTGCCAGCAGCACAGACTCTGCCAGGCCGGGCCCGCTCAGGTGGGAGCCCAGGCCGGGTGAAGCTGTGACCCGGCCCTCACCCCAACTCGGTGACAAAAGCTATCACAGGGCTGCAGTGGGGGAGGAACAGGACGCATCTGCCAGGCACCTGACCCGCAGTGCACTTCTGGGAGCTGTGCTTATCTCCCCGGGGTCTATTTCGCCCCAAGGTTTGGCGGGTTAAAAGCTGATATGCAACCGGCACGACATGAACAGTATTTCATGATTAAAGACATCGCGTCCATGTATAATTGAGATGCTGCCGCATTTGCGGGGATTTTCAAGCGAAAACCAGGCCACGTGGAAAGGCTAAGCCCTCGCACCCCCCCGCCCCCCACTGCTGGGACCCCCGCCCCGCGGGAGACCCCGGCCCGCGGTCCCCTATGCCCGCGACCCCTGCGCTCACCCTCTCCCCTCAACCCTGAGTCCAGCCCAGTCTCGCGCGAGGCCGCAGGGAGACCCCCGCCGCTCCCTGGACCACCCCTGGGCCCACCGTACCCAGCCGCTCCCCGGCGCCCCCCGGGACGACCCCGAGCCGGCTGCCCGCCTCCCGCCGCATTCCGCACAGGCGCACCGCGCACCGAGGGCCGCACCGCCCAGCTCCGCCTGCTGCGCCAATGGCCGACGGGGTCCAAGTCGGCGGCCCAACGGAGAGGCGGGGCTAGGGGCGGGACCAGGACGCGGGACAGCAACTGTCCCGCAAGGCCCGGATTGAGGAGGCGGGAGGGACCGAAGCAGGCGGACCCAGGATTTGGCGCCGCGATCTCGAGGCTTGGCCTGGAGTAGGAGGGGAAACAAGGCGGGACTAGGGGCGAATCCGAGGGGGCGGAGCAGGGCTCGGGGTGCGGTCGGGGGCGTGGCCGGGGCGCGCTGCGGCCATCTTGGGGGCGGGCCCGGGGCGGAGACGAGCCCGAAGGGGCGGGGCCTCGGCGGCAGCAAGAAAGGCGGGACCGGGGCATCTCGGGGCGGGGCTTGGGGCTGGATCTATGAGCCGGGAGCGGGGATCCAGGAGCGAGGAGCCGGGAGCGGGGAACAGGGAGTCGGGGAGCCGGGAACCAGGGCTGGCAGCGGCCGCCATGAGCACGGTGGACCTTGCTCGCGTGGGCGCGTGCATCCTGAAGCATGCGGTGACCGGGGAGGTGAGGCCGGGTGGACGCAGGGCGGTGGGCGCGTCCCTGGCTCCTTGCCCGGGCGTCCTGGCAGCGATGGGGTGGTGGGGGCCGCGGGGCCTGGGCGGGGCTGGGGGCAACGGGGCGCGCCCATGACCCAGCCGCCCGGCAGGCCGTGGAGCTGCGGAGCCTGTGGCGGGAGCACGCGTGCGTGGTGGCCGGGCTGCGGCGCTTCGGGTGCGTGGTGTGCCGCTGGATCGCCCAGGACCTCAGCAGCCTTGCTGGGCTCCTGGACCAACACGGCGTGCGCCTGGTGGGCGTAGGGCCCGAGGCCCTGGGTCTGCAGGAGTTCCTGGACGGCGACTACTTCGCGGGAGGTGCGTCCTGTTCCCCGCCGCGGCGGCGCACATACCCTTCCCTAAGCTCAGGGCGTTCGGGGCCCTTTCCTGCCCAACCCCGGCCCTTCTGTCTGCTGGAGCGGCCTTGATATGCCCACGGGTCAGCGTCCCTCATCTCTCCCTGCCTCCCCGCCCCGCAGCTGGTGGCTGGGTGGTGCCCTGCACAGACCTGGGCCCAGCAGCAGAGTCTGGACGAGCTCTGCCCCGCCGGCTCCACCTGTTGCCTCTGGGACTCAGCCCCTCTTCTGAGGGGAGGGGGGACACTCAGCCCCGTTTTACCCCTCCCTGCCCTGCGGGGGTGGGCTGAGCACGGAGGGTGGGCAGAGGAACAGAGGGTCGGAAGGAGGAGGGCGATTCTTTGTGGTGAGTGGGTTGGGGGCTGGTTCTGCGCCTGGGGCACACACATGTGGCTTCCGCTTTCCAGAGCTCTACCTGGATGAGAGCAAGCAGCTTTACAAGGAGCTAGGCTTCAAGCGGTGAGTGGGGGCGGGAACCCTTGGGTAGCGTGGGGTGGGGGGCCCAGGGGTTCCCACCGCTCCCTGCCACCTCCTCTCCCTGCTGCCCTCTGTGGTGCTGTCCACTCGGGCCTTCCTGGGCAAGGCGGCTCTGGTGGCACTGTTGACCAGCCCTTCTGCCAGGCCTTCTCTTGGGTGCTGGGTGACTGTAATGAGCCACCTCGTCCGGGGCTTACTCTCGGTGTCCAGACCACCTCGTGGGGTGGAGCCTCGTGGCCCATCAGGGGCCATCCTAGCTTTCTGGTGTCTGTGCCACAGGCTGCTTCCTTTGCTTGGCAGTTGCCAGCTGAGCCAGATCCCTGGGCACACCCAGCCTGGGGCCCCATCCATGCTCCCTGCACCCTCTGTGGACCCTCGGCTAGCAGCCACTGGGCTCGGTGTCCAACCTGCCGGTGGGCTGGGCTGGCTACTGATCTGGTCGCCTGTGCCATCTCTGAGCCCTGGTGAGGCGGGTGGGTGGGGTGGGGCCTGACCTAGGAACTGGTCTCATGGACACTGGAGCAGGCTCTGGACCCAGGCTTCTCCGGAGTTTGGCCAAGCGACCTGGTGTCTTCGCAGGTACAACAGCCTGAGCATCCTCCCAGCAGCTCTGGGGAAGCCCGTGCGTGATGTGGCTGCCAAGGTGTGTGCGGGTCAAGGGTGTACAGGCCGGGGGGTGGTGGGAGCTCCCAGGAGCCTTTCTTCTAGGATTGACTCAGGCTGTACCCACTCCTGACAGGCCAAGGCTGTTGGCATCCAGGGGAACTTGTCTGGGGACCTGCTGCAGAGCGGAGGGCTGCTGGTGGTCAGCAAAGGTGGGTCGAGGGAGGGGCCTCGGCCACTGCCTCAAGGAGGGCCTTGCTGAACTTGGTGGCCCAGCCCAGGCCCTCTCTCTGGCTTGTCAGTCTCATCACAGCCCCTCCGCCGCAATGTGGCCTGGTTCTGCGTGTCTGCTGGGCTGAGTGGGGCTGTGGCAGAACAGCTCACTCATCTGGGTAGCCGGGTGGGGGATATGGCTGGCCAGGGCTGCCCTACCCTCCCTCCTCCTGGTATGTGGCTGTGAGGTGCAGGCGGCCTCCGGGGTGCCGTGACTGCCTGCCCGCTGCTACAGGTGGTGATAAAGTGCTCCTGCATTTCGTCCAGAAGTCCCCAGGCGACTACGTCCCCAAGGAGCACATCCTGCAGGTCCTGGGCATCTCTGCGGAGGTCTGTGCCAGCGACCCGCCTCAGGTGAGCTGGGCCTTGGGGGCGCTGCCTGCCAGCCCACGCCCTGCCCCTAGGTCCCCTGGGAGGAGCACTCGGCTTGGCTGGGAGCTGAGCCACAGCGCTGTGGGCATCATGCCAATTGTGCCCTGGGATATGGATGCCACTGTGACCCCACTTGCAGAGTGGGGCAGGCTGAGAGGGGCCGAAGGGCAGCATGGCTGGATGGACAGGCACCTTGGGACTGTCCTCAGAGGTGGGGGCGACACATGGGGTGGCGGGCAGAGAGGCGTGTCCTCTCAGCCTTGGGAGGGCTGGGGATTGTCCAAGGGGGCCCTCCAGGCATTTGTCTGATCCAGTGTCCAGCGGCCCCATGGGACCCTGCTGTCCCCACAGTGTGACAGAGAGGTGTGAGGGAGGCGAAGGCCCTGGCCTCCGAGGATCTGGGTGGCGTCTGCTGCCCTAGGTGTGCTGGAAGTCCACTTGGAAGAACTGTTCCGGAGGCGCTGGGTCGGGATGCCGAACCTCTCCTGATCCGCCGGCAGCAACGAGCCATTAAAACTGCAGTTCCTGACCACGCACTGCTTCGCAGGCTCCGAGCCCTGCATCCTCCACAGCCCCCGCCTTGCTCACTGTTGGGCCCTCAGGGCGGGCAGGGTGGCTGTGAGTCCCAGGTGTCATCTTCCTGCTCTGCGACTTTCTCTGGAGACCTTGGGCCTTTGGCCTGTGGGGCACTGGGGATGGTAACCTCACTGCCCCGTCACTCCCTTCAAAGGCGACAGACCCAAGCCCACGTCAGGAGAGGAGCGTGGGGTCAGCTCCAGCAGGGTCGGGGTCAGTGCCTGTGTCTGGTGGGGGCCACTCAGGAGAGTTGGGTTTTCAGGGCAGAGATGGGCTTGATTCCACCTGGTGGGGTGGGTGGACCCTGGAGACTCTCAGGTGATGGGCCAGCCTGCCCCAAGGCTCTTTACTGATGTCAGAATCATTGTTTGCACCTGCTGGGTATGGCCTTTGGGGCGGCCGGCCCGGGAGGGTCTTAGTCTAATTAGGTGTGTCCAGCTTCTTGGCCACCTTTCCCTGGGGACCCTAACAGGCCCAGAGCAGAGCCCCTTACCTCCCAGGTCAGACTACCTGCTCAGGCCCTCCCCTCCCATGCAGGCCGATGACAACTGCAGCCCTCTCTGCACTCCCTAGTCCAGACCTGGGGACCACTGTGGGTTCCTGTGGGTCTCCCGGCTCCCTTCCTGCCCCCAATGCCACCCTTGCAGTGGCCATTTAAAAATGCATAGCAGGTGACCCACTGCGTCCCTTTGCGTTCAGCCCCTCCTCTGGCTTTCAGTTACACCAAGCTAAAATTTCAGGTTCCCAGCTGCAGCTCTCTGGGTCCCCCGGTGCCCCAGTGGGGCTCCCCGCATCTGAATGTGTGGTCCCTGGGGGTGGGCACTTGGGGGCATCCTGGTCACTGCTGGCCCTAGCATTGGACCCTAGGAGACCTGACTGGAACTGGCTCCCTCCCCATCAGCTCCCAGCTGTCACTCTCTCCCACCCCCGGGCAGCTGTTTTGCCCAAGACCACTGCTACCTGTTTACCCACCCTGGTCCCTCCCAGACAAGCAAGGCCTCTGATTTCTTTGAAGCATTTACTTAGCTCAAGTCTGAAGCTGTAGATACTGGAAGACAATGCACCTTGGAGGGTGGGCAGGACACAGTTGATTGTCTCTACAGAGCTGTGACGGGGGCACTGAGCCCCGCGGGTGTCTGTGGAGGGGGCTCCGGTCCAGGTACTGCACTGGACACTGCTCATCCCTGGGTGTCAGGCAGGTGGCTGCACCCTAGGCCAGGCGCAGAGGCCTGGCAGGCAGGCTTGGCATGGTTGGCCGGGGCGGGACGTACACTGGGTCGCCGCTAGCTGCACCTTCGCACAGATGCCTCCGAGCAGCGGGTGGGCGTGGGCCGCACAGCGCGGCAGGGCCTTGGCTACCACACGCGGCATCGCTCCTTGGGGTGCATGGGGGTGCCCCGGGCACAGTGGAACGTGTCTGCGAAGGCGGCCAGGTTCTGCAGCGACCCCAGTACCCTGTGGGTGGGTGGGTGTGACAGCAGGAGCATTGCCATCTTGGACAAACATGGCCATTTTAAGTTCTCCGTGATTAAAAACCAGCCCAAAACATCAGCCTAATGGCTCATGTCAGTATGAGCAGAAACATTTCAACCATGAGATAAACCCCCATCTGACCAGAAACATGCCAATCCTGAGAATAACCTCCCCTCCAGCCAGAGATATTCCAACTCTGCAATAAAACTCTCCTTCACACAGAAACATTCGCAGCCTGCGGTAGGCTCCCCCTTCCTAAACCCTTAAATGCCCTTAGTCTGTAAGAGAATGTCCCTGACCGAAATCGGCCAGAAGCCCCTCTCAGGTTTATTCCCAAAATAAACCTGTCTCTGTTGAGCCACTTTTTGTGCTTTCTTCTTTTACAGGCCACTGGGGTGGGGGTGAGGGGGTTGTGGGTGGCAAGGGGGTTGTGAGCATGGGAGACTTGCCTGTACTTCAGGGGACTGTGGACGTCTGTCTTGATGGATTGGATGGCGAACTCGGGCCGGTAGGACCCGCACCACACCTGTGGGCATGTTGGGGGCGTGGCTACAGGTGGCGTGGTGGGGTGGCCAGGAGGGGTGGGGGAGGGTCTCCACTATCCCCAGGCTGCCCCTTCTAGGGTGGGGTGAGGGGAGTCAGCAGGTGCTCCCCTCCTCCCATCAGCATTGAAATCCTGTCCAGCTCCCGCCCCCTGCCCCTCATGCTTTTCCCCCAAGGGGCCTTCCATGCTGGGCTCTGGTCCCTGGAGGTGCCCCAGAGTGGGCCCTCCAGAGATGAGTGGGGAAGCATGGGGATGGTGGGACCAGGACTGCGGCTGCCACCTGGGCATAGTTGATGAAGAAGAGCTGCTCATGGGTGAGATCCAGGCCGGGCAGCTGCTGGTCCTTGCCACCCTCTGCCATCCACTTGAGGTAGGCCTGCAGGCACCAGACAGGAGCTGAGCTCAGGCCTGCCAGCCTGGACTCCAGAACCCTCAGATCTCAGGGCAGAGCAGAGGTCTGGCTCCAGGACCTACCCCTGTGGGGGTCCTGCTGCTGCAAGGGCCCTTCACACACCCCACGGATGAGCGCTCACCACCTCAGTCACTCAGGGACCCCTGAGCTGGGCCCTCGGGGGGGGATCCCTGGCCAGACAGCCCACTGCACACCACCTGTCCCGAATGAGCCCCTGACGCCCCCTCCCCTGAGGCACTGGTGCCCCCCTCCCCTGCAGCGCTGATGCCCCCCCTCCCCTGCCATGCTGACGCCCCCTCCCCTGCTGTGCTGGCACCCCCTCCCCTGCCGCGCTGATGCCCCCTCCCCTGATGCACTGGCGCCCCCTCCCCTGCCATGCTGACGCCCCCTCCCCTGCCGTGCTGGCGCCCCCTCCCCTGCCGCGCTGACGCCCCCTCCCCTGCCGCGCTGACGCCCCCTCCCCTGCCGCGCTGATGCCCCCTCCCCTGCCGTGCTGGCGCCCCCTCCCCTGATGCACTGGCACCCCCTCCCCTGCCGCGCTGACGCCCCCTCCCCTGCCGCGCTGACGCCCCCTCCCCTGCCAGGCCCCACCTTATAGGCTTGCCGCACCCCTCCGTTGTCAGCAATGTTTTCCCCAAGGGTGTTGAATCCGTTCACCTGCGCACAGGAGACAGGATTGGGGCAGCCCCGGCCCTGACTTCCCTCTCCCTCAGGGCCAGGGCTGGGGCTCCGGTACCCCCGCAGCCTGGGTGCTGGTGGCAGCGCTCACGTTCTGTTCGTCTGCCAGGTCCCAGGAGTAGTTGCCGTACTGGTAGATCATGCACTCTGACTGCTCCCGGAAGTGCTGGGTGGAGAAGTTACTCCACCAATCCATCATGTTGCCATTCTTGTCGAAGTTCCGGCCTGGGCAGGGGCAGAGGAGGGCTGCCCACATGCCCCTGGCTGCACTGTGCCTGGCCCCACGGCAGCCACTGTGCCTGGCCGCTCCTGCCCCTCCTGCAGCCAGCCCCAGTACGGAGAGCCCACAGTCTGAGTAGGCTGAGCCTGGAAGAGCATCGCGGGCTCCAAGGGGCAGCAGCTGTCTGGGGCTACACAGCCCCCAGAGAAGGAGGGCTTCAGTGGTCTCCCATGCCACCCCCTGAGGCTAGGGCCTAGCACCTGGGTCCTGTGGTCTTGGAGGCATCATGGTTTAAGGGCTCCTCCTGGGATGCCCAAACTCTAAGTTCCAGGCGAGAGGAGTACGTGGTCCCTGGGGACAAGGACTGCCCACGGAAGGTCCGGATGGCCGAGCCACAGGGGAAAACCAGCTGGGGCCCCTGTCCCAGGCAGGGCAGTCCCCACCGAGGGGCGGAGGTCAGCATGGCCATGGCGGGGGTAGCACACCCCCCGGTGGAGGATGCTGGCCGTCTGGAGAGTCTCCCAGGCTGGGATCTGGGCTTCGCTGCTGTATTGGGCAGTGTTGTCGTCCCCATGTCACAGGCCGTGGGAGGGAAGTGCCCAGTGCCAGGTGGAGTCAGGGTCATGGGCTGGAGTCCCTGGGTCCCCTCCTCCATGCTGGGAGTCAGTGCCCCCAGACAGGGCCCCAGCCTGGCATTCAAAGCCTGCTCTGCCCCCACAGCTCCCTGAGGACCTGGCCTCGGTGTCCCCACTGAAACCGTGAAGGGGTTGAATGGAGCGCCCCCAGGCCCCTTCCTGGCTGCTTCTCCGCGGAGAGGGGAGGGCGTGTGTGATTGGAGGGGCGGCCGCTCACCATTGTCGTCAAAGCCGTGCGTGATCTCGTGCCCGATCACCATCCCAATGCCTCCAAAGTTCAAGGCCTGTGGCTGCTCCTTGCTGAAGAAGGGGGGCTGGAGGATCCCGGCAGGGAATACTGTCCCCAAGGGCGGGACAAAGAATAAGCTGTGAGTGGACACATCTCCTGTGTGCCAGGCTCAGGGATGGCGCTGCCAGGGGTTCTGACACTTGATCCCACAGACCGGGAGGCAGAGGTCAGGATTCCCTCAATTTACAGATGAAGACACGGAGGTTCAGAGGCTGGGCGGGCTCGTGCCTGGCAGACCCAGGACCTCAGTCCGGCCTCCTCCCACCATCCTGTTCTGCCTGCAGGAAAGGCTCTGGGCCGCCTGCCAAGTCCCTCCCGAAGCCGCTCATGGGCACGGGAGTGAGTGTTCCCCACGGGGGCAGCAAGGGGTGACATAGGAGAATGTTCCAAGAACAGGCTGGGGTGCCCCCAGGAGGAAGGGATGGGCAGGGGGCTGCAAGCCACCCCTTCAACTCTGGCACCAAAGGGCCTGGGCAGGCAGGGAGGGGGAGGAACTTACCAATCTGGTTTCGGTTTGGGGAGTAGAACGCATTGACCACCGCCGCCCCGATGATCCAGCTGTGATAGACAAGCCGGTCTCTGGGAGCCGCCTCTCCGGGGACCCTCCCTCTGGGCTCTCTCTGCCTTGATGGACCAGGGCCTACCCTGGCCACACCAGAGCAAGGGCCCAGGCCTATCCCAAGATCTGGTTCCTTCCTGGGGTCCCTGAGGAGGAGGCGACTTGGGCCCCAGAAAGCAGAGGGTGATGGGGGACTCTGTCCAAGATAGGCCCAGTGACTGCACCCCTCAGCTGGCACTGGACCCCAGCCACGCATCCAGTCCCCCGCCTGGCAGGCAGCCCTGCACGCCTTACTGGCCACTCCCTGGCCCCCCCCGCCCATGCCGCACCAGCGATGCCACTCACAGATTTGGGTCCACCTTTTCCCGAAGCTTCCTGAGGCTCCGCTGGGCGCCCACCTTGAGGTTCTGCAGACTGTTCTCAAAGTACAGGTCCTCTGAGAAGTTCAGCTACGGGAGAGGGGCAGTCACTGCCAGATGCTGGGGCCGGGCCCTCAGAGGAGCAAGGGGAGAGGTCCTGGGTGGTTGGGGAAGGACCTCAAGCCTTGCCAGGCGTCCGCACGTGGACAGTCGGCTGTGGGTGCAGGTGAACGGGGCAGCCCTGGCTGTGGGCATTTACATGACTCTGAGCAAGTCCCTCGTCCCTCCAGGCCTCAGTTTCCCCATCTGTACACTGAGGGTAGTGCTGGAGCCACCACCCTAGGGCACGGTGAGGACAGCTGTGTTAGCGCCTGGGAGGAGGGCACAGAGCTTGGCACAGAGGAGCCCCCAGGCAATCAGGGCCCATGTCCACGGTGTGGGGGGCAGTTTAGGGCTGGGGTTGGGGGCGCACATTGGAGTACTCCTCGTCCAGGCGCCTGTTCATCTCCTCCAGGATGTAGTCAGGGTGCCCGATCTGCTCCCGGATGCTCATGGCCTGAGTGGGGAGGAGGGACTGGTCAGTGGGTGCCCCACTGCGGATGGAGTCAGCCCGGGGGCCGGTCAGTGAGTGCCACACTGTGGGAGGGGTCAGCCCGGGGCATCCTGGCTGTGCTCTCCCTGTCCTGTGGTGAGGGGCTGGGGGGCTCCGGGATCTGGCCCCCACCTTGCAGGCTCTGGGGAGGTTTAATGGGGACAGAATATGGAAGGCTCCGCCCACCTGACCTAGAGCCCAACAGCCCGCCAGGGGTCCGGGTGGGGGCAGGGGCCCTGGAGGGGTCACTCGGCTGCCGTCTGTCACTTGGGTCCAGAGGAGCTTCTGGTGGGTCTGACCCTTGCTCCCGAGGCCACCGCTACCCCCGCTGGCTCATGGGGGGTGCTGGGGATGTCCCAGGCCTGGTTCCTGCCCCTGCCTGCTTTTCCTCAGCTCCACAGTGGGCGAGTGGTCCTGTCTGCGCCTCCCGGGGCTGCCTTCTCCCCGTGGGGTCCTGTCTGCGCCTCCCGGGGCTGCCTTCTCCCCGTGGGGTCCTGTCTGCGCCTCCCGGGGCTGCCTTCTCCCCGTGGGGACCGTCAGGAGGCTTTGTCGGGGCGGTGCTGCCCGTGCCCAGATCCAGTCGGGGCTGCCCTGACCTCTGCGAGCCACATACCTTCTCCTGCGCCTTCTTCTTGGACTCCTCGTCCATCCAGCCCAGCTCGTCCAGCGTCTCCACAAACACTGTCCGCACCTTGTCAATGAGTTCTCTGACCTGGGAATCGGGCATGGCCCTCGTGTCCCAGACTCATCTGGAGGGCGAATGACCAGCCTCAAGGGCTTTGGGGAGGTCTGGTCTGAGCCCCGCCGGGGCAAGGCCCAGGGCTGCCCAGCTGTGGGCCTCTCAGGTGAGGTGTGGGGCCGGTGGGGGGATGAGATGACAACCCAACTTCAGGGTCCTCCCTGCTGGGCTGTGGGTCCTCGTGGGCCAGGGGCAACTTGTACCACCTGTGCCTTTCCCAGCTGGACCTGCAGGGCTCAGGCTGGGGCCCAGTGGCCGGCTGGGGTCAGGGGCATGGGGTGGGCACGGCTTCCCTTAGCCTCCCTCTGTCTGGTGAGCTGGGGCAGGTGCCCCTGAGCCTGGGCGGGGTGGGAGTCTCAGGGCAGGGAGGCTCGGTGTCCCTGTGGAAGGCTGGCCCCGCGTGGGCCATGGATGAGGGGCGCCCACCATGCTCTTGCTGTCTCCAGGGAACGCCTCCCTGACGTAGAGGGAGCCCACGGCGTTCTCCATGTTGCTGTTGACGTAGCCCACACATTCACGCCAGCGCACCTCCTCCACCATTGTGCCAAACAGCGCCTGGTGGGGCCACCCGATCATCCCACGGGCCCCCACGTCAGCCTTCCCAGGCCTGGCGTGGGGCCCTGGGCTTACGGGGTGAGCAGACCCACCTATCCTCAGCCTCAGGGTGCCCCGGGGCTAGCGGGGGCACGGGATGATCTCAGCCTCACCTCTGGGTGCTGCTGCGGCGGGGGGAAGGATGGGCATGGTATTGTGATTGGGGAACTTCCGCAGACTGAGAGCTGGGCCTTTACCCTGAGGAGTTGGGGGGGTTCCTCCCCGGCCCCTGTCCTGGTTGTCTGGCTGGACTCTGCTCTCCAGGACTCCAGCCCCAGTCTCAAGGCACAGGGCTGGCGCTGACCCCAGAGCAAGGCCTGGGACCACGTCCCTCTCAGCCACCAGCTCCCAGGGCCCTGGTCTCTCCATTGTTGAAGCAGCTGTGAGAACACCTGCTCATCTGTCCCCAGGGACACAGGAGCACGAGACTCTGGGCCCCAGACTCAGGCAAAGCCCAGGGAGCACTCTGCCCAGCGTCCTGCCACACCTTCTGGGCTGCAGGACTTCCTGCCCTTTAGGAAAGGGAGGCAGCCCTTTCTTCCTCCCCAAAGCTCCTAGACTCAGTGCCCCCCTGACGCTTGACTCACAGATGTCTCTGACCTACCCCCCCATGGCAACAGGAGGCTTGACTTGCCCCCAGCTTGCCTCTGCCTCAGTCTCCCCATTGCAGTGGGGACCTCTGTCCCTCCCATTACTCTAACAAAGGTCTTGAGAGTCCCGACTCCCCTCTGCCCTTAGCCCCTATACCCAATCCCTCAGCTGCTGCGGTCAACACCTCCCCTGCGTCTGTGTGTCTGCCAGCACCATGGCCAAGCCTGTCACCTCACCTGGGTGACCACATCGGCCTCCATGCTGACCCCGCCCCCTACTCAACTCACTCTCCCCAGAACAGCCAGAATCCCCCTAGGGCCTCCCTGCGGTTCCTTGTCTCCACCCTCACCCCAGCCCTGGAGCAGCCACAGTGACTACAGGAGCAGCATATCTGACCGCGTCTCTGCTCTTAGCACCCCTGCGGCTTTCAGACAGGGAGTACAATCCAAACCGGCTGCTGTGGCCCGTGGTCACCTCGCCTCCCTCCCTGCCATCTTCTCCTTCCTGTCCGCTGCTGACCACGGGTCCGGCCCCTGCCTGCTCCTGCCTCTGGCCTCTGCACTGGCACTGGCTGTTTCTGCTCCCGGGAAATCACCCCGCCGCCTCTTCAGGCCTTTAAGGTCTCAAATGTCGCCTCCCCGGAGCAGTGCTCCCTGTCCTCGTCCCTCCCTGCCTCCCCGCCACATCATACTCTGCGGTTTTGGCAGAGCTACGTTCTGCCTTGTTGACTGTCATGGTCCACTCCCCACTGGGGTGGGCGCCTCGCCCTGCCTCGTCCATGGCTGTGACCCTGGTGTGGACCTCGGTGTTTGCCTACAGCTTATGCTCAGCATCGTGGCCTGAATGAATGAGTGCCCGGCCAGGCTCTGGGCAGGGAAGGGGCTCACCTTGCGGTAGTTCACTCGTGTGTCCTTGAATCTCTGGCTTAGGCTACCAATGCGGTCCAGCACCAGGCGCCAGACCAGGTAGTTCTGTATGGTCCTGGGGGCAGAAGGTAGAGGGTGAGGGGAGAACAGGTGAGAGGTCTTTGCAAGGGAGGAGATATGGCTTAGGGCCCTTGGCCAGCACGTTCCACCCCAGAGAGTTATGGGTGCTGGAGAAAACCTCCAGGACAACCACCTCCAAGATCCAGCCCATCTGCCCCGGGTGCTTGGGATGTGACACATTTTTAATGTAAGACTCCACTGGCCACTAAAGCTTAACCCCTCATGTCCCACACCCCTCAGGGCAGATGCTTCATAGGGTCCCCTCCTGGGAGCAGAAGCTGTGTTGGGGAGGATGGGAGAGCAGGGGCAAAGATGCTGAGGCCTTTGGAGACCCTCCCTGGGCCTCACCTGGCTGAGTAGGTGTCGATGATGTTTTCAAGGTTCTGCAGGTAGGGGATGCCATAGACCACCACTTCCTCATCTGGCAGCAGCTTGATTTTGACAGAGGATAGCACAGTTTGTATGAACAGAGTCCAGTTAAATCCCTGCAGATAGAGGAAGTGGGGAGAAAGAGGGAGAGAGAGAGAGGGAGAAACAGTTCCTGGGAATCTAAGAAACCCAGCCCCTGTTGAAGAATGTTCAAGGAATAAGAGAGAAGTGCAGGTAATCAGAATCAGGAAAGGGTGGGTGACATTATTACAGAGCCTACAGCTGTAAAAACCCAAGCGATCATGCAGATATATGCGAAAGCCTAAGTATAACAGGCAAGTTCCTAGAAAAACACAACTTAGCAAAAATGACAAAAAAAGAAATAGAAAATATGAATAGTCTTCTAGGTTAAATAAATGGAATATTTAATTTGAAACTTTCCAATAAAGAAATTTCCAGACCCATTTGGCTTCACCAGTGGATTCTATCTGACATTTAAGGAAAACTGCCAATCTTATTAAAACTTTCCAGAGATGAGAAAATGCTTTTCAACTTGATTTATGAGGCCAAGAATAACCTTGATACCAAAATAAGGATATTATAAGCAGAGTAAATAATAAGCCAGTCTCGTTTATGTCATAGATACAAAAGTTCTAAGCAAAATATTAGCAAATAGAACCTAGCCATACTTGTATAAAATGCTAATATATCACAGCTGAATTAGATTTATTCAAGGAATACAAGTTTGGTGTAACATTTGAAAATAAAATAATTTTAATTCACTACAATAACTGAATAAAGGAGGAAAGTCACATGATTATTTCAACAGATGCAGAAAAAGCATTTGATAAAATCTGCCATCTATTCATAATAAAAACTCTTGGCAAATAAAAATAGAAGGGGTCAGCCACAGTGGCTCACGCCTGTAATCCCAACACTTTGGGAGGTCGAGGCGGGCAGATCACCTGAGGCCAGGAGTTCAAGGCCATGCTGGCCAACATGGTGAAACCCTGTGTCTACTAAAAATGCAAAAATTAGCTGGGTGTGGTGGCGCATGCTGTAGTCCCAGCTACTTGGGAGGCTGAGGCATGAGAATCGCTTGAACCTGGGAGGCAGAGGTTATGGTGAGCTGAGATCACTCCACTGCGCTCCAGCCTGGGCAACAGAGCAAGACTTTGTCTCAAAAAAAAAAAAAAGATAAAAAGAAAAATAGAAGGAAAATTCTATAACCTGATAAAGGAAATGTATGAAGCAGCAGAAGCAACAAAAACAACTCCATAGCAAACATAACTTTTTTTTAAATTTATTTTTGAGACAGAGTCTCGCTTTGTTGCCCAGGTTCAAGTGCAGCAGTGCAATCTTGGGTCACTGCAACCTCTGACCCCTGGGTTCAAGCAATTCTGCTGCCTCAGCCTCCCTAGTAGCTGAGATTACAGGCATGTGCTAACACACCTAGCTAGTTTTTGTATTTTTAGTAGAGACAGGGTTTCACCATGTTGGCCAGGCTGGTCTCAAGCTCCTGACCTCAGGTGATCCACCTGCCTCGGCCTCCCAAAGTGCTGGGATTACAGGCATGAGCCACCATGCCTGGCCAAACATAAAATTTAGTGGTAAGAATATACGTGCTTTTCTTTTAATGTCTACTATTATGACATCAGCATTATGCTCAAAATCCTGTCCAGTTCAGTAAAAGCAAACATGAAATAAAGCCAGTAAGAACTGAAAGAGAATAAATAAAACTGGACCAGGTGCGGTGGCTCATGCCTGTAATCCCAGCACTTTGGGAGGCCAGGGCGGGAGGACTGCTTGAGCACAGGAGTTCAAGACCAGCCTGGCCAACATAGAGAAACCCTGTTTCTGGGAAAAAAAAAAAAATCAGGCAAGGCTTGGTCATGGTGTATTCCTGTGGTCGCAGCTACTCAGGAGGCTTGAGCCCAAGAGGTCAAGGCTGCAGTGAGCCATGACTGTGCCACTCCACTCCAGTCTGCATGACAGAGTGAGACCCTGTCTCAAACAAACAAACAAACAAACAAAACCCAACCCCCCTGTTTTTTTACAAATGATATGATTTTGTTTATTCTACAAATAAATAACCAGAACTAATAAGTGCATTGAGTAAGACTGCATATTTACAAAGTCAGTATTTCCATATATCAGCAACAAATAAGATAATTTCAAAATGATTCTATTTATAGTAGAAAACCAAACACCTGTAATTTATCTAATAAAATATGTATAAGAACTTGACACTGAAAGCTTTAAAAGTTATTAAGAAAAATTGAAGCATAAATGGAAGCATATATCATGTTCATGGATTGGAAGACTCAGCATTGCAAAGTCTCCCCAAATTGATAGAGAGATTCAAAGTGATCCCTATCAAATTTCTAGCAGAGTTTTCTTTTTGTGTGTGTGCGTGTATGCAAATGGAAGGCAGATTTTAAGTTTTATGTGAAAATGCAAAGGACTGAGAATTATCAAGACACTCTTGAAGAACAAAGTTGAAATATATACTCTATTGACTATCAAGACATTATAAAGCTGAAGGAGTGATGGTGGTAGGGGTTATCACTTGGATAGATAAAGAGACCAGTGGGGCAAAAGAGAGTCCAGAAATATACATATGGGCCCACGCATAGACACACAGGAACACCTGATTTATAACACAGAAGGCACCAAGACCAGGGGCTCACAGGGGGCTCTTTTTAATAAATGGTGCTGAATGACTGGAAATCCATAAGAAAGAAACAATTCCTACATCTCACTGTCCATTAAAAAAATCAACTCACAGTAGATTGTAGACCTAAGCAAACCTGAGGGTAGGCAAAGAGTTCTTTAGCAGAACACAAAGAATACTAACCACGAAGAAGAGATCTGCACACATTTGCTAAGCCAATAAATTGGACCATTTAATAGCCTCCATTGAAACAAAGAAACCCTTATGAGAGTAAAAAAGCAAGCTGCCCAGTGGGGAGAACATTTGTACACATAAGCTGACCAAGGAGTCACATCTAAAATAGGTAACTCCAAGAATCAATCAGAGAAAGATCGCCCGATAGAACAAATGGGCAAGACTCAAACAGACGTTCCACAAAAGGGAATGGCATTGGCCAATTGACAGGAGATGGCGTTTAACCTCCTCCGCCCTTGGGGAAAGTCACATTGAACCCAGATGAAACCCCACTACACAGGTGCAGAAACGGCTGAGAACGGACACCACCCAGCACGGGCGAGGGTGTGGCACCAGCCGCTGTTGGGGAGCGCACATCCCTGGATAATTCTGGGGAAAGACAGTGCCTGTTACTGTTGAACAGATGCGTGTGCTTCCACCCAGCAATTCCACTCCTACCCACTTGCCTGCCACAGGCACACACAGGCATGGGCATGACAACATCACTCAGAAAAGGCCCAGAGACAGCACAGTGGGACCCGAGTTGTCGCATGTTCTTAGAGTCAGAGGCCACTCAGCAATCTAGAGGCCACGTCAGGGACCGGCCTCCCTCCAGGGAGAAGTCAGGGTCTCTTCTCCAGGGAAGGAGGCAGGCACAGGGGCTAGGCAGGGGCATGTGGGGGCTTCTGGGATGTCGGTGGTCACGTAAGTCTTGATCTGAGGGGTGATTGTGTGGATGTGTTCACTCTGGGGCGATTCTGAACATCATAAATGCATTGTAAACCAAATGTCCCCAAACCCTGGGCTCCTGGACGCTCCCCTGAACCTGCCGCTGTGATGTCTCCACGGCAACCTCAGGCCATCTGAGCTCTCTCACTTCCATATTTAGTCCTTTTGCAAACCCTGTTGGCTCCACTTCCAAAATCAACCCCAAAGCCACCTCCACCACGGGCACCCCCCTTGGCAGAGCTGCCATCTCTTGCCCGGGCTACGTGGCAGCCTCTGATTGGCTTCTCTGCCACCTGCCCCGTCCCCTTCACTCACTCTTACTTGTGAACCAGGTCACGTCCTGTCATACCCCCACTCCTCTCGGGCAGAGTCTGAGACTTTCAAGTGGCCCCCGAGGTCGGACACGGCATCCCCCGCTTTACTTCCTACTCCATCTCTCTCTAGCCCCGGTGCTCATTAGCTGGGAGTCCCTGCCCCAGACTCTTGGGGAACTGCTGTGTGAGCCACACTGGCCCCAGATGGCCATGGCCCTTGGTTCTCTGCAAGGCTTTACCTCCTGTCTGCTGTCCTGGCTGAGCTCATCCTGCCCCCTTTCTGGCTTTCTGACACGTTTTAGAGGTCACTCCGCTTTTCTGTCCCTCTCCCGCACCGGAACCTCGATCGAGATAGGCCTTTGTTTGGGAAGGGGATAAAGCCCAGTGCCAGAGCAGAGCCTGGCCCCACTGCGTGTGTTCTGGGCAGCGGGGTGTTGGGGAAGGTGTGTCCCCGCAGGCCAGCCCTGGGGACCAGAACCGATCTAGGGACCACCAGCCTTCCAAGGCACTAGGTGCCCTGGGGCGAGGCTCTCCCCAGAGTCTCTCTGTCTTGCCCTTGGCAAGAGCTGTGGCTCCAGACACTCAGGGACATACTCTGGTTGAGGGGGCAGGGGCTTTGGACCCCCTTCTGCCCTTGCCCTCCCCCCACTGACTTGGGCACCCTTTGCCGAAGCTGCACGCCTGCGCCTCCTGGGGGAGGAGGCCCTCGAGAAGGCCAGCTGCTCCAGCAGGGTGAGAGTCGGCTGAGGGAGTGGGGGACTTGCCCCTTCCCAGGCTGGGCTGCTCCTCTCCAGCCCCCACCTCAAAGCACAGGGCGGTGCCTGGCCTGGGCACTGGGCAGGGGAGCGCCTGAGGGTGTGGCCAGGGGGAACTGCTACCCTCAGGGCAGGCAGGACTGGGAGGAAGCACCCTGCTAAGGTTCTGAGCGGGACTTGGGGTCTGAGAGCCCTGGGTGGGACCCTGTACACCCCCACACATCAGCAGCCCCCTGAGGCCTCCGTTTCCTGCTCAGAAGACCGGGGCCATCACAGCACCGCACAGATGGGTGACTCTGTTCCAGGATGGCACAGTTGGCACTGCTGTCCCAGTGACATTAGTAATCGTGCTGGTGCTGCTCTGCAGCAAGTTTGGGTGATCAGGTACAGGGTCTCCCTGCTCGGGGATGGGGAATGTTTCTGAGCTTAAATGCCAGGCAACGTGCCCTCTCAGAGGGCCGCTTCCATGTCCCCCACGAGTCTCCACCCGGCCAGTGCCGGCCTCCTGTGTGGTGTGGCCTCACCTTCAGGCCAAACTGGCTTTGCAGCTCCTCCAGTCCCATCCGGTGGTACAAGGCGATGACGTCGTGTCTCTCCTCCTGGGGTACCGTGGCCTGTGCCGGGGATAGCAGTCACACGGGCGGGTGGCCAGGATGCCCCCTGGGGCTCCTGGCCCAGTCCCTGCCTGCTACCGGCCCACCCAGCACCCCCTCACCTTGGCCAGCCACACCGCCTGGGGCTCCCAGCCCACTCGCTGCCCGCTCCCCACCCGCCCCGGCCCCCTTACCTTGGCCAGCTGTGTCTCCAGCTCCAGCACCTGCACCATGTCCTCCTGCACCAGGCAGCTGTCCCTGGGCAGGTTTGCATCCTCCCGCAGCAACGTGGCCACTGACACCATGAACTGCAGGTAGGCTTCCCGCACCTGGGCCAAAGGACGCCGGGCAGAGCTGGGTGGCCTCAGCCACCATGGCCCCCAGGGAGTTTTCTGTGGGGGTGGGGTGGGCGTAGGACATGGGGAAGCCCCTAATGCGTGTCCACCCACCTTGACCAGCAGGCTCTCGGGCACACAGAGTGCCGAGTGGGAGCGTCTCAGACGCGTGACCTGTGCCCGAGCCACTGGACGGGGTACCTAGTCTGCAGGGCTGCTCAGGGCTTAAACTGTGTGGCTGCCTATAAGGGTTTGCACAGGTGGGTGCTGGGGCTCTCAGTGCTGGGGTTGGGGTGCTGGGCTTGGGGTGCCAGGGCTAACTTGGGCCTGCCGGGGCTGTGGGTGCCAGGGTGGTGGGTGCCGGGGTGGTGGGTGCCAGGGCTAATTTGGGCTTCCCTACCCAGGTGCTTCCCGGCCTGAGTGTCTGGAGTGGGATCCTGAGGAAGTTTGCTCCTCAGGGAGCTGCCTTCCTCGCGCTGGGCAGGGCTTCCCCAGTGCAGGCCAATGCTCTGGCCAGGCTTGGCCCATAGCTGCCTGGTCTGAACACATGGCCAGACATGGCGCTTTTGAGACACTCCAGTCCCTCCTGCTCTGGCGTGGTTCTCTCAGCCCCACTGCTCCACCTTTGGCCACACGGCCCTTCCTCTGGGCTTGGTCATCCTTCAAAGTCTAGTTCATAGCCCACCTCCACCAGGAGGCCCCCTGGATTGTGTCTGGCCCTCTGGGGCATTCATGCCTCATGCCTGTTCACCTCTGCCCTGGTGCTGGATGCCTTGCCCTCCTCACCTGCTCCCTGTCCTTCCCCACCCTTCCCTGCACCCTGGGCTAGCCCTGGGCCTGCCAGCCTCAAGGTCCCCTTGTCCACAGTGGGGGTCCTCATCCCTCCCCTCTCTTGACAGCCCCTTGAGATGGAGCAGGCTCGGGGCCCAGCTGCCTGCACTCAGATCTCCAGGGGCCCTCCTGGGAATCCGGTGCTGCAGAGCCTGGGTCTGTACTGACGGGAGGGGGATGACAGTTCTGCCCCATGGGGCTGCTGCTGAGCTGAGCTTGTCCCCAGGCCTGGCCCGGGTGTTGAGGGAACGTCCCCCAGGATGGTGGCAAGCAATAGGTCACGTCTGCACCCGCCACCCTCAGTGCCGGGCTCAACCTCCACAGGTGCTCACTAACACCAGCTTCGGGGAGGGAAGGCCAGGTGGGCAACGGGAAGGCCAGACCACGGGGTAGGGGGTGATGGGGGGGTCATCTGGCATTGCGGTGAGGACCCACCCACCTTCCGGTTGCTGCCGCCGTTGAAGTAGTACTCTCGGGAGGGCATGCCCAAGGTGGGCTGGTCTATCTGGAAATACAGAAGGTGTGACCCTGGGCAAGGGGCCCGGGGTCCCCGCAGCCTGGCTGAGGCAGGCTGCAGCCGCCTCCCCACAGGACTGTGCCCCGTGCACACGTGCTCTGCCCAGGAGCTGGTGGTGGAGCTTGTGCCGGACCCGGGAGGCCAGACCCTGCCCCGAGTGATGGTGGGGGCGCTGGGCTGGACTGGAGAGGGTGGCGGGGGTGGGGTGGGGAGGGGTTCAGGCTGTCCCGGGCCTCGCAGCACCCGCGGCTCCCCCAGAGTGGGGCGCGTATTTGTTTCGTGTGTTTCTCTTTGGCCTCCAGCCCGTGGCCAGCAGTGGATCCCTGAGGTCAGGCCTCCTGCCCCGGTTCCAGCCCCGCTGTTCAGGAGCCCCCGCCCCTCTGACCAGAACCGGGTTCTACTGTGGCCCCCAGCTTGGCCAGGAGGCCCAACAGAAACTCCAGCAGCAGCAGCTCGTTCCCGGGCCCACGGACGTGGACAGGAGCCAGGAGCCCAGGTCCCAGGAGACCCCGGAGCTCCCTGTCGGCCTGGCCCATCCTTCTGCTGTGCTGCAAGAGCCCCCAGCCAGGCTTGGGGACCCTGCCTACCCCTGCCCACCGGCGCGGCTCGTACGTAGATGATGTGCCGGCTGGAGTTCTGGTCGTCGTTCCAGATGAAGAGGTCGATGAGGACGCGCCTGTTGAACTGTGAGTTCATCAGCGCCAGCTGCCGCTCCAGCTCCCACTCGAGTCCTGGGGAGACAGTGCCCCGCACTGGAGACTGGCGGGCCCTGGGGCCCCAGCCCGGCCCCTTGTCGGTGAATCTGGCCTCCGGAGCCAGGAACTAGGGGGCCATAGGGTGGGGAGCTCACCTGTGCGCCTTAGGGGCTGGGGGATGTGGGAGACACTTTCCCTAACAGCCCAGGAGCCACAGGCGGGCCCCCAGGTGACCGGAGGGGGTTGGGAGCAGCATGGGGTTGTCAGGGCTGCCAGCCACGTGAGGTGCCACTCCTGCCCCCGGGGGAATGGAGCACATGCTCAGAGTGGGGAGCCCTGGGGCCAGGGCCTGGCCGGAGCCTGGCTGGGGCCTGAGTGTCGAGCGCTCCTAGGGGCCGAGGAGGGGCACCCCTCTGCAGGGCTGGATGGGACTGGCCACGGGGCACCAACTCCCCAGCATGGAACCTAAACCACCTCCCAGGACCCTGAGGTTGCCCCGGCTGGGTTGGGCCTCTTGGGGCTCCTGAGAGCAGCCAGCTGGGGGTGGGGGTGGGGTCCCCTCCTGGAAGGCCTCAGACCGAAGGAGCCCTGGTCCTGGTCCTCCTTTGTCTGTCTGTGAGGCTGCTGCCAGGCCCGGCCTTACCTACGGTCTCGTTCCACCTGTCCATCGCCACCGGCCAGCCTCCCACCACCTCCAAGATGTCCAGCAGGGGCTGAGAGCCTCGCTTCTCTATCACACCTGAGAAGGGACGCAGTGGTCACTCTCCCAGCCTCCCTGTGGCTCACGTGCCACGACACAGAACTGTGGGGGCGCCGTTGGCCGGCGTCACAGGTCCCCACAGCCCCTGCAGTGCTCCGCGAGAGGCGGCCTCCCAGCCTCTGGGCCTTTACACCTGCACCCTCCCGTCACAGGTCAGCATCTTGGCAGCTCTGCAGCGCAGGAGGCGGAGGCTGAGACTGGACACGGGCGTGAAAGGAGACCTGGGGGCTGAGAAAAGCACATGAGCCCCGGGGGACAAAGAGGATGATGGGAGGCAGCCCCTGGGGCCTGGGAGCCGGCCAGCAGGCGAGGAGCCTGGGAGAGGAGAGGAGGCTCTGGGATCAGGCCAAGCCTCGGCGAGGACTCAGGCAGCGGTGGGTGGGCTGGGAGGGGGCGCGGGGTAGGCAGGGGAGCCCTGGGGCCTGTGTGTGTCCTGTGTCTCGGCTCAGCACGGTGGGGCCCCGACAAGCAGGGCTTTTGCAGTCGAAGATTAGGTAAAGGTGGGGACGCGGAGATAGTCACTGTGGGAATAAGTGAAGACCACCCACAGGGCAAAGTGAAGGCTTCAGTGCTGGCACAGCATGGCAGGTGCCCCGTCAGGTCAAAGGCCTGCAGGGAGCAGCAGGGCTTCCTAGTGGAAGAGGGGAGGCCCGAGTGGGCTGAGTGGGGGCTGCTGGCCTGGGGAGGCTGTGGCGGGCTCACTAGAGGCCGGCCTCCTCTGGGCTTGGCTAGGGTCCTATGCTGGAGGAAGGGACAGACATTCCAGGGGAGGCTGCCTGTGATGAGGCAGGCCCCGGCTGTTAGGGGCCGGATGCCGTGGGGAGTGCCGTCTGACCTCCTGGGCTGCCCACTGGGGATAAAGGGCTGGGTTCCCGGCTGGGCTGCCGGTCCTGAGTTGCGTTCCAGTTTTCCACATGGTCTGGCCCCTGCCGTTTGTATATTCAGCCTCTCAGGCCAAAAATTAAGTAAAGGCGAGGACACAGGAAGTCATCTCCAGCTGGGAGTATTGCCCAGAATGGGGGCCCAGCCTTCTGTTTCCATGGGGAGGAGACAAGCCCAGCGCACCCAAGCAGGGGTCTCACGGAGACGCCCCCTAAAGCCAGGGTCCCAGCGAGTTCCACAGTCAGGCGGAGGCTCCACGAGACCCCCTGGGCAAAACAACCAGCCCTGAACCCTGGTGCTCAGCGGAGAAGCTGTCTCTACAGCAGCCACAACCACAGGTTGGGCCTGCAGACCCCCAAGTGGAGGAGTTAAACGGTGCTGGGCCGGGGGTGCTCCAAGCACGTGAATTCCTTTAATAGGAACTGAAACATGGATAATCTGCCCCCCACACCACACACACACATCCACATACATCCACATGCACACACAAGCACATATGACACACATACAGCACACACATAACATGTATACACACATAACACATATACACACATACACATACACACATACACATACACACATATACACATGTACACAAGTACACACAGCACATATATATACAGTACACACATATACACATAACACACACATACATGCACACACAACATACACATATGCACACACAACACACCCATAGAATACACACATATACACATACATGCATGTGCACATAATACACATATACACTATACACAATACACATGTGACATGCACGTAACACACATGTGCACACAATGCACACACATATGTACACACCGCATGCATATACATATACACATATACATAACAACACACATACATGCATACACAACACATGTACCCACATGTACACATGCACAAACCACATGTAACATATATAGATACATGCATGAACACATATATACACATACACGTATACACATATACATACACAATATACATACATATACACACAACACACACATATGCATATAAATGTATAATATGCATGCACATATATACACATACTCATATCCATATAATACACACACACACACACACACACACACACACACACACACACACACACAGTCTTCCTGCAGCCTGGAACGTGTGGCCTGTGCTGGGGTTGGGGTGTGAGTGAGGCCGCAGGGCAGCTGGCATTACTGCGAGCCTGGACCCTGTGGCTGGGAGCGGGACACAGCACATAGACCCTCTGGCATGAGTCCTAAAGGCACCCACTCCTACCCTAGGGGCAGCCATGGGGTCCTGGGGCTGCGCTAGGCCCTGGCAGGGGCAGCCCGCCCCCGTCCCCTGCCTCGGCCCCTTCCTGGCGGCCCCCACTCACTCTGGTTCATGCAGGAGCGGTACAGCGTCCTGGCCTTCTCCACAGCCGGCCGGTCCTTGGCAGTCGAATTCTCCAGCACCGCTGTGGGCACAGGAAAAGGTTGGACAGAGGCCTGACGAGGCTGCAGGGGCCAGGTCACAGGTCCCTACACCCCCTGAAGTGCTCGGCGAGAGGCGGCCCCCCAGCTGCTGGGTCTTTATTCCCTCTCCTCTGCGCCCACTGGACCAAGGAGGAAGCACAAACAGGGGCGAGACACAGCCAGGACCAACTCCTGGCCCGGTGCTGTCCTGTTCGGCGTCACCCCACTGCACCCCCGGCCGTGCTCTGCCACCTTTGAGGATGACCTCCAGCTCGTCGCGGAGGACGTCAAAGATGCTGTATCTTGAGTTGGTCTCAGGGATCACGTGGCGCCGCAGCCAGCCTCCGCATGCAAACTGGTAGAAGTCGTCACACGGTTCCGTGGTCGGGTCCATGTTCTGGAGGATCCTGGCAGCTGCTCGTCCCCATGGCGTGGAGCAGGGAGAGGGGAGACAGAGAGAGTTGTGGACAGCCCAGAAGCCTGTCTCCCGGTCCAAGACACAGCCTGGTCCCTTGGGAAGGGGCTGCTGTCCATCCAGTCGCAGCTGTGTGCCCAGGGAGAGTTAACCACCCTCTCTGAGCTGCAGAGAGGGAATCCCCCAACCTGGATTCAGTGCTAGGGTTTTCACTTATTTATTTTTAGAGACAGGGTCTCACTCTGTTGCCCAGGCTGGAGTGCAGTGGCGTGATCACAGCTCACTGCAGCCTTGAACTCCTGGGCTTAAGCAATCCTCCCACTTCAGCCTCCTGAGTAGCTGGGATAACAGATGTGTGTCTCCTCTCCCGAATGCCTTTTTAAAAAATTTATTTTAGAACAGGGTCTCGCTGTGTTGCCCAGGCTGGTCTGGAACTCCTGGGCTCAAGTGGTCCACCTCGGCCTCCAGAGTTGCTGGGAATTCAGGCATGAGTCGGCTGGGTTTTCACTTATTAACCACTTGATCTTGAACCCCAAACCCTCCGAGACTCATTTCCTTGTCTGTGAATCCGGGAACACCAGCGGTCTGACTTGCAGGCTGAGGCGATGGCTGAGATGGTGCCAGCTCACAGGAGGTGCTCAGCTGGTGACCATGCCCTGTAAGCCGGGCCCAGCTCCTGGCTGTCCGCCAGGGCCTTTCTGTTCTGACTCTGCCCCCTGCCCCCTCACTCATCAGTGTGCTTGGTCCCCAGAGGGAGGGACGACTCTTACCACCATGGGGGTTTGTATTCTGCTAGAGGGGTTGGCTTTGCCCCAGGAACCCCGAATGTGCACAGGACAGGGGAGACCCAGGCTTCCCACTGAACGCTTTCAACTGGGGTAGCTGGGCTGCACCCCCCGACCAAGAACCGTCCCTCAAATTCTGTCCAACTTGGTCTTGGCCACTCCACCTCTGGGGCTGGGGACCTCACGGAAGGCGTGTCCACAGGCCCCCCAGCCCCCAGCACGGGCAGAAAAGCCACAGTCCAGAGCTTCTCCACTATTGGCGCTTTCACAGCATGTTAACAGTTTTTGTCATCTGCAAATAGCGGTACCTGACCCCCAATTTTAAGACAAATGCCTGGGAGAAAATCTGAAATAAGAAAGTGGCTATTCATTGAACCTTTCTTTCTATAAATGTGGACAAAAGCCGCTGGGGTTCTTGGCACGGGATGCTGTTGCTGCAGGGCCTGGCTGCTGGAGGCTGGGGACTGGGGGCCCAGCGGACGCCAGATGCCAGAAACACCAGCTCCGCCCGCTCCACAGCGAGTCCGAGTCCGGCCCACCCGGCTCCACCGCCCGCCGTGTCTTGGAGTTGCTTCCCTGGGCCTTGGGCGGGGCCTACGTCAGTGTCAGCCGGGAGCCCCCAGCCCTTGGGCAGGCTGTGGACGGCAAGGGGGCGGGGCTTACCTGCTATCACGCAGCCAGGGGTGGTGCAGACCTCGCTCACCTCTTGGGCCTCTGGGATCCCTGCGGGCAAGGAGCAGCCTGAGCACCGGGAGCCACGGAGAGGGTGGGGCAGGACTGGAGTGGGTGTGGGCGGGGCAAGGTCTGGTGGGTGTGGCATGGGGATGGGCATAGACTGGGGTGGGCGGGGCAAGGTCAGGGTGGGTGGAGCATGGGCTGAAGCCAGTAGGGCAAGGCCAGGGTAACCAAAGCATAGTCTGGTGGGGGTGGGGTGTGGCCCTCCACCCCATCTTCCATCCCCATGGGTGGTCCAGCCTGGCAGCCCAAGTCCTCCCCAGGTGGCCCAGGCCTGAGGCCTTCAGTGATAGTGAGCTTCGTTCTTTGTCCTTGACCGCTGCAGGGACCTGGGAGCCCCTTTACACCCTCTGCCTCCATGTACCCCCACAGCTGCCCCAGGCCCCAAGGGCTGAAGCCGGCCATTCTGCCCTCCTGCCTTCTGCCCAGCCCACTCTCACCTGCTGCCAGGGCCAGCTCCTCCAGGCAGCCTGCCTTGCTGCCCCTCTCTGCATGCCCTGCCCCGGCCTGCCCCACCCCTGTGCCAGCTGGTGGAATTGAATGTGCTGAGGCCACGCAGGAGCAGGTGCGGAGTGTCCACAGTGCCCAGTAAGCCTCCTGCGTCCAGCAGGTGCACCCAGCTGAGGTCCCTGCCACTGTCCTCTCCCCATGGCCCTCCTCCGGCACATGAGGGTTGGGCAGAACCCAGCCCCTGCCCCTCCACGGAGTCCCCCCACCTTGGGAGGCCAGCGCCCACCTGCCTGGGGCTGTTTTGGAAGGGAAGGCAAAGGCTACCTCGGGGTTTTCGTTTTACAAAGGTCCTCTCCTCCTGTAAGAAGCACAGCCGGCTAGCAAGGCGTGGCAGCTGCTTCCCTGGGGAGAAACACAGCGCTCAGCTGCGGCCTCCTGCCTGCAGCTCCCTGGGGGTGCTGGGGGCCTCCCTGGGTCAGCACGCCATCTTCCCACAGTGCTGGGTGCTGCAGCCCTACCCCTGTAGTGAGGGCTGGTCCCCAGGGCAGCGAGACAGGAGATCCACAGAGTTCACTGCAGGGGCCAGCTTCAATCTGTGTCCTGCTGGGCTTGAATGGGGGGCGGTTTGCCCTGCCTTGCCAGCCCCACCCTTTAATTCTCCCTCCACCCACCCCAAGGTCCCCGATGTGCCAGGGCCTAGAGGGGTCCTGAGGTGAGACCTTCCTCTTCCCGACAGCCTCCTCTACCTCAGGATCTTCCTGACCCTGACAAGGCCCACACAAGGTGGCACGCTCCTGGAGTCCCACAGGGCAGGCTCATTTAGAGGGACAGGGCCTTTTCAGAGAGGGTGGCTTCCCACTAATGACCCTTGTCCCTAGCCCCTCCACCCTCACTGCTGCTGAAGGTGCCAAGCCACCCTCCCTCCATCTCTCTACTGCCTGCTGGGAGGGGCCTGCCTGGTCAGCATCGGGGGCTCCTGGGATGGCTGTCAACTGCCTGGAGAGATGTATGGGAGAGGAGGGTGGGATGGAGAGAAGAGGGGACCCCAGGTCCAGAGAGGTGACAAGCCAGGCCTGGCTACCTTCAGACCTGGCTTGTGGCCGAATTTCCCCAGCAGTGAGGTACACAGAGGACTGAATGGAAGGAGGGAACAGGGCTCGTTCAGGTCAGGGCTGTTGGCAGGCCTGGAACCTGGCCTAGCCCTGGGCAGAGACTGCAGAGAGGGTGCTAGAAGCCACAAAAATATCAGCTCCTTGGGGGCCTGGCCATTCAAAAAGCCATTAGTGAAACACTGGATGATGACTGTGAGCCAGGCCAGATGCTGCAGTTCAGATGTGAGCCTGACAGGGCCCAGCCCTCAAGGAGCCCCCCGCCCGGTGGAAACAGGGAGAAAGTGCCGCATGCTGCATACACCGAGGTAAAGTGCTGAAGGGCAAGGCTGAGCTTCAGAGCAAAGGAATCCCCCAGGCCAGCAACGGAAAGGAGGTGGTGAGTGCGAGCGGAAGGCATGGCTGCCCTGTGGTGTTTGCCAATTGCAGTAACCCAGAGCCTATGGACCAGAGACTGGACTGTGGACTCCAGAGGGCCTCACCTCAGCAAAAGAGTGGATTCGAGGGACATCACCTCTGACCAAAGTGGTGACAAGGAGGGCAAGGGCTTTCTGCTTCTGATTAGGATGCAGAAAGTTGAAATTGACTGTGGCCCCCACCCTAGCCAGGAGAGCAAGCTGGAGAACCTACAGCATGGGCACTTTTAGAAACCCACGAGAGCTGAGGACATAGAGAAACCAGCATGAGTCAAATTCCAGGGAGGAATGAAGCCTTCCCAGGAGAGGAGAGGCCTGTGGCTGCATTGCCTTTGGAGTCAAAGCATGAGGAGGGGCACATGCGCCTGGCAAGGACGTTCAAGCATGGCGGCATACGTCTGTAGTTCCAGCTACTTGGGAGGCTGAGGTGGGAGGACTGCTTGAGCCCGGGAGGTTGAGGCTGCAGTGAGCTGAGATTGCACCACTGCACTCCAGCCTGGGAGACAGAGTGAGACCCTGTCTCAAAATAAAAACAAAAACAAAAAACAAAAAACAAAAAACTATGAGCTACATACTGTCTGATTCCAATTATGTGACATTCTGGAAAAACAAAACTTTAGAGAGGAGAGATGTTAAATAGTAGTTGCCAGGAGTTTGGGAAAATGGATGTTGAAGAGGTTGAATAGGTGAAGAACAAGGGAGTTTTGGGGGCAAAAAATGACAAATAGTGAATGCATTTGGCAGGGCAACTATTCTGTACGATACTGTGGTGGTGAATGGTGAACCCATTTGTCAAAACCCACAGAATGTTATAGCACAAAGAGTAAACCTTATTGTATGCAAAGTTAAAAAATTATTTAGACTGTCAGGGGAATCCCAGGATGAAACGCAGAATGAGACTCAAGACAAATGTATAAAACAATCTCACTGAAATGGATAGGGGAATAAAGTGTTGACCTAAGTAACTTTAGAAATGAGTAGAGTCTATGAGACTAAAGCAAAGGAAGCTGTACATAAGCGCTGTACTCTAGTTGATAAAGTTGTCCTACATGGGATCCCAGCTGAACTCTGAAACCACTGCACATGTACATTGGAATGGAAAAAGTAAGTGGATAGCAGGTGGCTGGGCTTATTGCTGCTGCAGTGAGAAGTTACAGACAAGGAAAGGAGGAAGTCAGAATGGTCCATGTGGTGGTGGAGTAGAGTTGGAGACAACAGTGTGAACTCATTTTTAGCTTAATATAGATGCAGATGGTTGCATATATAAATATTTATAGATATGAGTATCTAGATGGGTTCATGTATACATACATATTCCTTTGCTCTGCCAGGTGAGCTAGACTAGAAGCAACACCAACCAAGGAGTAGCAATAAGCAAAGAATAGGACCCAGCTCTTGGTTTCTGTTTGTTTTTCAGACACCACATTATCCTAGAAGCTGTTGGTTTTTGATACCATTATCCGATAAAAGAAGCCAGGGCTCCTTAGAAAAATGGTTGATTATACAACTGGGGTAGGAAACATACGAGATGAGCTTGGAGCATGTTGAAATGTCAAAAAGTAAGAAAGTGCTCCCCCCCAAAAAACTCACCCCAAATTCACGATAATGGGGATACATCAGAGGGTCATAGAAGCAACTGACAACTCCCAATGGCCAGAGTTAGAACAATTTGAGCAATGCAATATAGCAGTGGATTATAATGCAAAGTGTAAAATAAATATCTACAAATCATTGAGTAAATAAATAAATGAGGGAGAATAGATGAATCTCTCATACAGAAGAATGCCAAATACTTTAGGTAGATACTCTGCCTCTAAGGATGTGGAGCATAACTCCCCACTCCTCAGGTGTGAGCTGCACACAGTGGCTTCCTTTCAAAGACTGCACTATGAAAAAGAAGGGAAAAAAGTAACTTGCAGCGCAGAAACCAGACACTACCTCCAGCCAGGCAATTAAGGTTAACATCAACAGTGATAAGTCCAGTCATTGAAAGTGTGCACCTGTGACCTGCGGCCTTCCTCTTCAACACATGTTACCCCAGTCTAATCATGAGAAAACCATTAGGCTAATTCCAACTGAGGGTCATTCCACCTGATCAGTAATCCTCAAGACTGTCAAGATCACAAAAAACAAAAACACAAACAAGAAAACAATGAAAGTCTGAGAAACTGTCACAGCCAAGAGGAGCCTGAGAAGATGTGGCATTCTGGATATGACCCTGGGACGGTAAGAGGACATGAGGGAAAACGGGGAAATGTGAATTGAGTGTGAACTTTAGTTAATAGTAATATTATCACTATTGGTTCACTACTTGTGGCAAATGTATCAGGCTAATGCAAGATGTTCATAATAGGGGAGACTGGGGGTGGGGTATATAGGGATTTCTGTACTATTTTGCAATGCTTCTGTAAATCTAAAATTGTTCTAAATTTTTGAAATATTACGGAAGGAAACCTGAACAGAAGATCTCAGACCTGTAGGACAATGTTAAATGGCTTAACATATATGTAACTAGAGACTCAGAGAGCAATATTTGAAGAGATACTGACCAATAAATATTTAAAGTTGGTAAAAGATATAAATCTACCCCAAGAAGGGCAGTGTATCCCAAGCTGGGCAAATACAAAGAAAACCATCCAGCAGCATCATAGTCAAACTGTGGAGGACTAAAGATAAAGAGAAATTCAGGATTAAGAATTTCAAGACATACTTAAAAGCAGTCAGTGGGGCTGGGCATGGTGGCTCATGCCTGAATCCCAGCACTTTGCGAGGCTGAGGTAGGTGGATTGCTTGAGTCCAGGAGTTGAGACCAGCCCGGGCAACATGGAGAAACCTTACCTCTATAAAAAAATTATAAAACAAAAATTAGCTGGGCATGATGGTGGACACCTGTGGTTCCAGCTATTTGGGAGGCTGAGGTGGGAAGATCGCTTGAGTCTGGGAGGGGGGATGTTCCAGTAAGCTGTGATTATGCCACTGCCCTCCAGCCTGGGCAACAGAGTGAGACCCTAGCTCAAAAAAAAAAAAAAAAAAGCAGACAAAAAAAGACACATTATATTGAGGGGAACAACAGTAAGAATGACGGTGACCTCTCACCAGAAAGAATGAAGGCCAGAAGATGATGGAATGAGCTCTTTAAGTCCTTGAAAAAAACAATAATACATTATCAGCTTATAATTCTATACCCAGCAAAAACATATTTCAAAAGTGAAAGTGAAATAAAGACATTTTAGACCAAAGCTGAGAACATGTGTCTCTACCAGATGTGCCCCACAACAAATGCTAAAAGGTCTTCACTCAGAAGGGACACGAAACCAGTGGGAAGACCAGATTGGTGGGCAGGAATGATGAGCCTGAGAAAGGGTAAAGAGGGAGCAAAGTGTGACGGGAGACCTGGACCCAAACAGTGCCTCTGATTCATTTGTTTCCCATCTAGTCAGATGTATCCAGAACAAATTAGGACAACTGAAGAGGCGAGTTCATGCCTCCTTCATGCCTGCATCCTGCCTCTACAGCTCCCACGGCATTCCCAACATAGGATTTCCCGTAGCCTTGTTGATGGGGGAAACCCCCAAGGAAATTCACCAGATGCTGCAGATCAAGGGCTGCCTGAGGATGTAGTGAGCTCCTGAGCAGCACTTTCAAAACTGAATTAGATGAGCTAGGCATGTTTTTTCCGTGTCGTCCCTTAACTTACAGTGCCTCACTTAATCATCACAAGGAAGCTGGATCACTTGAGGCCAGGATCACTTCAAGACCAGCCTGGCCAACATGGCAAAACCCCGTCTCTACTAAAAATTCAAAAATTAGTCAGGCGTGGCCAGGCGCGGTGGCTCACGCCTGTAATCCCAGCACTTTGGGAGGCCGAGGCGGGCGGATCACGAGGTCAGGAGATCGAGACCATCCCGGCTAACACGGTGAAACCCCGTCTCTACTAAAAATACAAAAAATTAGCCGGGCGTGGTGGCGGGCGCCTGTAGTCCCAGCTACTCGGGAGGCTGAGGCAGGAGAATGGCGTGAACCCGGGAGGCAGAGCTTGCAGTGAGCCGAGATCGCGCCACTGCACTCCAGCCTGGGCGACAGAGAGAGACTCCGTCTCAAAAAAAAAAAAAAAAAAAAAAAATTAGTCAGGCGTGGTGGTGCATGCCTGTAATCCCATCTACTCAAGAGGCTGAGGTGGGAGAATTACTTGAACACCGTGGGTGGAGGTTGCAGTGAGCTGAGATTGCGCCACTGCACTCCAGCCTGGGCGACAGAGCGAGATTCTATCTCAAAAAAAAGAAGCTTGTGAGGTTCCTCATCTCTACTTTTCTTGGGAAAACTGTTGGGGAGGCAAGATCACACACCCAAGGTCACTTTCCTTGGGGGAGTGGCAGGGCATGAACCTCCAGACCCCATACTGGCATTCGACAGCTCTGTTCTTCTAAGAGAAAAAGCAAAAACAGTGAGACCCTTTTGACACAATGGCTGAAAAGAAACAAAATCTTACCCTAATGCTAAAATATGATCACAGGAAACACAGTCAATGATCTCTCCAAAAGGAGATTTTTCTTTTTCATAATTCCAAAAAGGGCAGCTTTCCTGAATACTCAGTTGACACAGGATCTTCTCTTTGTTCTTTTATATTTGCTTGAATAACTTCTGTAATATGCCAATCATTTTGACATAGGCTTTCTACATTTTAAAAACTATTTTTGACATTTCCTCTGAAGGTTTTGTTTTCCTAAAGTTTTCCAAATGCCTTGATTTGAATAAGACCTCTGCCACGGTTTGGATGTGGTTTATTTTTCCCTACCAAGTCTCATGTTGAAATGTGATACCCAATGTTGGGGGTGGGGCCTGGTGGGAGGTGTTTGGATTGTGGACCTGATTCTTCATGAATGGCTTGGTGCCCCTGAGTGGCTTGAAAAGAGCCTGGCACCTCTTCTCTCTCTCTCTCTCTCTTTCTCTTGCCATATGACCTGCATGCACAGGCTCCCCTTTACCTTCCACCATGAATGGAACAGTCTGAAGTAGATGGGGAGCCATGCTTCCTGTGCAGCCTGCAGAACCATGAGCCAAATCCACCTCTTTTCTCTATAAATTACTCAGTCTCAGGTATTCCTTTAGAGCAACACAAATGGACTAAAACAATCTTGATGTAAATAATTTACATTTTTTTCTTTTCCCTCTCTTCTCCATCCCTCTTTCAGAAGAAACAAAGGCACAAAGAACTTCACAGAGTGGAGAAAGAAACACCCTCCCTGGAGGATGTGTAATCACAGACGGCTTGTCATGCCATTGCCGAGTTTACAGAAATGTGTGGCCAAGGAAACCTCTCGCGGAGAAGCCAATTTAAAGAAACTCCAGGCTGGTAGTGTCCTAAGGTGCCTGATGAAAACAAATACATATTCTCCAGAGGGAACATTTCTCAGCCCAATAACACAGGATCCCCATAGATAAAAGCCAATTTGAATATGTATTTACATTTTTAAAAAAGAAAATCTTACATTAGTGAGAGAAAACAAACAGCAAAACCAGAACCCCAAAGATTGCCAATTAGGAATGATCTGATCCAGAACGTATGGAAGCTGGCACCACTGGCCCTGGATCTGAGTCTTCTCTGCATCCGTGCCTTGGCCATGTGACTCCGTAGTTGCTCCCACAAAAGGGACAAATTATTTTTTTTCTTCTATCTCTTGACTGTGCGTGGCCCAAGTGACTTGCTTTGGCCAACAGAATGAGGTGGGAATGACAGGGTTCCAGTTCTGAGCCTGGGCCCTAAGAGGGCTTTCATGTTTTCACCTGTCCTTTTGGATTTCTTTCACTGCCAGGAGAGGGATCTGCGCAGGAATGCTTGCTGGGCTCTGGTAGGAGGATGAAAGTTACATGGACAGAGCACCCCAGCTGAGCCCAACCTAGGTCAGATGACCCCAGGCAAACAGTGGAGGTGCCTCACAATAAATCATTGTTTTATGCCAGTGAGTGTTGGGCTGGGTTTTAAGACCCCAACTGCTAAAATAAAATAACGTAAGTACGTTTGAAATGCTTCAAAAAGAATCAAAACTAGGCCAGGTGTGGTGGCTCATGCCTGTAATCCTAGCACTTTGGGAGGCCAAGGTGGGCAGATCACTTGAGGTCAGGAGTTTGAGACCAGCCTGGCCAACATGGTGAAACCCCGTCTCTACTAAAATTACAAAAATTAGCCAGGCATGGTGGCGGACACCTGTAATCCCAGCTTCTCAGGAGGCTGAGGCATGAGAATCACTTGAATCCAGGAGGCAGAGGTTGCATGGATCCAAGATCGTGCCACTGCATTCCAGCCTGGGCGACAGAGTGAGACTCTATCAAAAAAAAAAAAAAAAAAAATCAAAAGCAAGAACAAGGAACAATAAAAAATCAATTTGAAAAAGGATCCATTGTAAATTCTAGAAATAAAACCACGTAGTTGTTGAGATTTATAAAACAAAAACAACTACAAACCCAAAAGGCTGAGTTAAGCAACAGACATAACAGAACAGAAGATTTAGTGAAATGAAGTGTAGTTCTAAAGAACTGACCCAGAATGCAGGAGAAAGTCAACAAGATGGAAAATATGAAAGAAAAGCTGAAAGACATGGAGGACAGTGGGAAAAATGGAGCAGATATGCAGTGGAAAATGGAAAAGGAGAGAAAAGGGATATTGTGGGAGATACACCATCCAGGAAGATAACGGGTACAATTTTCCAACATTAATATATGTTATCAGTGCTCAGCTTCAGGAATCACAACAAATCCACAGCAGAATAAATACAAATAATTTCACAGCTAAACAACTCATGATAACAATTCAGAATACCCAAGACAAAGAGAACATAGCTCAAGGAGAAAAGATTGTTCACCCAACAGAGGAGCGGCAGTTAGGCTGACTGTACTTTTCTCTGAAGCCACGTCTGAACAGCAGCAAGGGGAGTCAGAAGGCATGAGAGCTAAATCTTCAAGATATTGAGAGAAAATAACAGCTCAGACTCATTTAACCAATTAAATGATCACTGAAGGACGAGCGCTAAATAAAGTAATTTTCACATAGACAAGAGATAAGAGTTTAATGCTGATAGATTATTTTCAAGCAGGGCTCCCCAAACTTGTCTGATCACAAGCAAGGTCTCAAATGCGTGTGGGATTCAGAGGTCTTACCCTACAAGATTCCCGGGTTTCACTGTTTGGGGCTTGTTATGGACTGACTTTGTGGTTTGAAGCCCTAACCCCTAATGTGACTATTTGGGGATAGGGCCTGTGAGGAGGTTTAAAATCAGCTCAATGGGCAGGGCTGGTGGGGGGCATAATCTGGTAAGTCTGGTGCCCTCATAAGAGGGGGAAGAAATGACAGAGCTCACTGTCTCTTTCCACCACATGAGGACACAGCAAGAAGGTGGCCATTTGGTAGACCAGCTTATTGAAGTGGGAAAACATTTTTAAACAATAAAATAATGAAAAAAAAAAAGCATGGGCCTTGTGGGAAGAAAGCATGAACCAAAAATAAACTAAATTTTCCAGGTGACTGATGGACCCTCCCTTCAGGCAAGGGCATTCCAAAGTTAACCTGAAAAACGAGTTCAGGCCATGATGGGAAGTGGGGGTTGGACATGCCCCATTATACCCTCTTCCCATTGGAATTCAGGCACAGCTGACCAGCATTCACCTTAAAACAGAGACATGCCAGGCGTGATGGCTCACACCTATAATCCCAGCACTTTGGGAGGCTGAGGCAGGAGGACTGCTTGAGCCCAGGAGTTTGAGACCAGCCTGGGCAACACAGAGAGACCCATCTTTACAAAAAATAGAAAAACCTAGCCAGGTGTGGTGGCATGTGCCTGAGGTCCCAGCTACTTGGGAGGCTGAGGTGGGAGGATCACTTGAGCCCAGGAGGTTGAGGCTGCAGTGAGCTGTGATTGCACCACTGCCCTCCAGCCTGAGTGACAGAGTGAGACCCTGTCTCAAAAACAAACAAACAAAACCAGAGACCTTAAGACTGAGAGAACAGACTAAGTCTAATAAGAACTACAATCTATTTTCTCCAAAGCCTGCTACCTGGAGGCTTCACCTATATAATAAGGACCTTGGTCTCCACAACCCCTTATTTTAACCCAGACATTCCCTTCTATTGGTTCCAAGTCTTTAGATAAACTCTTCCAGCCAACTGCTATCAGAAAACCTTTGAATCTACCTGTGATGTGGAAGCCCCTACTTGGAGTTGTCCCACCTTTCTGGACTGAACCAATGCACATTTTTTTTTTTTTGTTTTGGAGATGCAGTTTCATCCATCATCATGCAATGGCACGATCTCGGCTCACTGCAGCCTCCGCCTCTCAGGTTCAAGTGATTCTCCTGCCTCAGCCTCCCGAGTAGCTGGGATTACAGGCATCCGCCATCACGCCTGGCTAATTTTGTATTTTAAGTAGAGATGGGGTTTCTCACATTGGTCAGGCTGATCTCGAGCTCCCGACTTCAGGTGATCCACCTACCTTGGCCTCCCGAAGTGCTGGGATTACAGGTGTGAGCCACTGTGCCCAGCCATATCTTACATGTATTGATTGATGTCTTATGTTTCCCGAAAATGTGTAAATCCAGACTGCAGCCTAACCACCTAGGGCACACGTCCTCAGGACCTCCTGGGGCTGTGTCACGGGCCATTGGTCACTCGTATTTGGCTCCGAATAAATCTCTGCAAATGTTTTACAGAGTTTGACTCTTGTCATTGACAAGAGGGTCTGATTCAGTTGGCATCTAGATCTTGGACTTCACAGCCTCCAGAACTAGGAGGAGAAAATATGTTTCTGTTTTTAAGCCACCTGAGCATTTTGTGACTGTAGCCCAGGCAAACTGAGGGAGGGCCCAATGTCTGGATTTGTAACAATTTCCCCAGGTGATTCCAATTATCAAGCAAATTTGGTCAACACTGTTTTAAACCAGTGCTTCCCTAACATGAATGTGCAGATGAATCACCTGGGGGTCTTGCTGAAATACCAACACCGGTCCTGCGGCCTTGGTTGGACCTTGAGTTTCTGAATTTCTAACAGGCTCCCAGGCAATGGCTGACACCACTGGTCTGTGGGCCACACTTTGAGTAGGAGACTCTGAAGTATGTATTTCAGAAAAAAGAAAAATTATTTAATAAGAACTGCCCAAGATGTAAGAAGAAAGATGCATAATGGAATTCATGAGGATAGGGGAAGATCTGAGTTAACATTGACCATATTAAATAGTAATGTTGCTGATCTGTGGTAGGTAAAAAGTAAGATAGAAACCAAATTCTTGGCCGGGCGCGGTGGCTCACATCTGCAATCTCAGCACTTTGGGAAGCCAAGGCTGGTGGATCACCTGAGGTCAGGAGTTTGAGAGCAGCCTGGCCAACATGTCAAAATCCCATCTCTACTAAAAATACAAAAATTATTTGGGCGTGGTGGTGGGCACCAGTAATCCCAGCTACTTGGGAGGCTGAGGCAGGAGAATCGCTTGAATCTGGGGGCGAAGGTTGCAGTGAGCCAAAATAGTGTCACTTCGCTCCAGCCTGGGTGAAAGAGTGAAACTCTGTCTCAAAAAAAAAAAAAAAAAAAAGTCCAGGAGCGGTGGCTTACCCCTGTAATCCCAGCACTTTGGGAGGCCAAGGTCAAGAGATCAACACCATCCTGGCCAACATGGTGAAACCCCATCTCTACCAAAAATACAAAAAATTAGCTGGGTGTGATGGCACGCACCTGTAGTCCCAGCTACTCAGGAGGCTGAGGCAGGAGACTCGCTTGAACCCAGGAGGCAGAGGTTGCAGTGAGCCGAGATCACGCCACTGCACTCCAGCCTGGCAACAGAGTGACTCCGTCTAAAAAAAAAAAAAAACCAAGTTCTTAACGGCAATAACATGTGAACAGGGTGGGTAGTGGTGCGAAGAGTTAAACTGTTCTAAATGCTTGTATTGTTTGGAAGAAATAATAGAGATATTGATTACTTTAATATTTAAGTTAAATAAGCATAAAAATTTAAGGTAGAGAAGTTCTGCTTTTTGCCGAGGACATCAAAAGCTGCAATTGAATATCATTTCCTTCCGTACAAGAAAAAGCCAAAGAAACTACAAAAAGCACAACTTTTTGGAGCCCATCCAAGACCTGAGGTCAAAGACAATCAGGTAAACAATTTCCGAGTGATAAGGCCCTCCAAGGAAAGGCCGGATATGTAAATTATTTCACTTTGGTCAAGACCTGAGAGTAAGAGATGTTCCAAGTGGGTCAGAAGAAATCAGCTAAAATTTTTCACACATTCTTACAGGCCCAGTGTGGGCTGCTACATGAGTTTGGAGTAGCCGGGAGCCCCCATCACGAAGAGGTTTTCAATCACTCCATGTTCTGTCCACGGCCTTTCCCAGATGCCGATGAGAAAGGCTGGGGCAGGTCTCAGAAGGCTGGAGAGAGCCTCCCTTGGTGGCCCAGGGATGGAGGCAGGGACCTGCTTTGGCTGAGACATGAAACTATACTCGTCTGGCAGGCAGCAAAAGCTTTAAACCACTGAGGCAGGTGTAACCCCTCTCACGCCCAGGAACCAGGCAAATCCCCTGTTCTGTAGGAGGGTCAGGAGTAAAAATCCCCGGCCCATGGAAGGGCAGGAGATCCTTGTGGGCCCAGAATCCTAGACTGACATCAAGCAGTCTCCTGCCTCTAGAGGAGGGGTGGGCAACTCAGGCACAGGGCGAAGCTTGGTTGACATGGGGATGTGGTAGGGATGCCAAGAGGTGCATCCCCAGCCCCAGGTATACTAGGCCTGCCTAAGCCTGAGACTGGGCCACGACACCAGAGAGCCCCCACCTCCAGCCCGAGCCTAGTACTGACCAGCAACAGCAACTCACCACTCACAGAAGGACCAGGGCTTGGGGAGGATGCCCTCTGTGTCATAGGCATCCAGACTGCTGAAGGCCAAGGCTGGAGCAGGCAAGAGGAGAGAACCGTCTGGTCCCCGGGCTGACTTCTCTAAGTGCAGGGAACAGGAGCTCATTGCTGGAGAAACGTGAGTCTGAGGTGCACTGTGGGTAACAACAGCAGTAGAACCCCCAGCCAGCTAACTCCTAACCAGAGGAATTCAATCCCTCACACTCACGCACTGATGGAAGAGGAGGTGTACCTGATTCTGTATATTAGGAAACCGTCCTGCATATACCATTTCAAAAAGACTCATATACCAAATGGTGCAATGTATTATTATGTAAAAATTTAAACACTATTCATGAGGCTCCTGATTTTATGTTTTGACAAATATTGGAGTCTGCAAAGAAGTATCTCAGACCCTCCCACAGCAGTGTATTGTGATGATGTTGCCAATAATACAGAATATTACTAATGACAGCAATAGCTCTTACGTTCTTAACAGTGTGTTCCAGGCCCAGTGCAAATGCTATTGATCTCAGTCTCTACTTGTATCGTCCATTATCACACTGCTAGAAAGAACTACCTGAAACTGGGTAATTTATGAAGAGAAGAGGTTTCATTGACTCCCAGTTCCTCAGGCTGTACAGGAAGCGTGGCTAGGACGCCTGAGGAAGCTTACAATCATGGCAGAAGGCAAAGGGGACGCAAGCACGTCTCACCATGGTGGAGCAGGGGAGAGAGAGAGCGCGAAGGGGGAGGAGCTGCACACTTTCAAACAACCAGATCTCGTGAGAACTCACTCACTATCACGAGAACTGCAAGAGGGAAATCCACTCCCATGATCCAATCACATCCCACCAGGCCTCTCCCCTGACACATGAGGATTACAATTTGACATGAGATTGGGTGGGGACGCAGAGCCAAACTATATCATTCTGCCCCCAGCCCCTCCCAAATCTCATGTCCTTCTCACATTTTGAAACCAATCATGCCTTCCCAACAGTCCCCCAAAGTCTGAACTCATTCCGGCATTAACTCAAAATTCCGAGTCCAAAGTTTCATCTGAGACAAGGTGTCTCGGGCCTAGTGGGCCTGTTTGGATTCTGGAGGCAGCACACTCCTCATCTGGGCGAGTTACTTCAGCCCATTTATCAAGTGATCCAAAAGGCTGCCAGTGTCGAGCGGGGTCCAGAACAGGAGCAGGCTCTGCAACAGGTCCAGGCTGCTGGGCAAGCTGCTCTGCCACTTGGGCTGTATGACCCAGCAGATCCAACGGTGCCTGGAGTGTCAGTGGCAGATAGATAGGGATGCTGTTTGGAGCCTTTGGCAGGCCCCTGTGGGTGAATCACAGCGGAGCCCTCTAGGATTTTGGAGCGGGGCCCTGCTATCTTCTGCAGTTAACTGCTCTCCTTTTGAGACAGCTCTTGGCCCGTTACTGGGCTTTGGTGGAAAGTGAACGTTTGACTACGGATCACCAAGTCACCATGCGACCTGAACTTCCTATCATGAACTGGGTGCTTTCTGACCCATCTAGCCATAAAGTGGGTCATGCACAGCGGCATTCCATCATCAAATGGAAGTGGTATATACAAGATCGGGCTCAAGCAAGTCCTGAAGGCACAAGTAAGTTACATGAGGAAGTGGCTCAAATGCCCATGGTCTTCACTCCTCCCACCCTGCCTTCTCTCCTCCAGCCTGCACCGATAGCCTCATGGGGAGTTCCCTATGACCAGTGGACAGAGGAAGAGAAGACTAGGGCCTGATTCACAGATGGTTCTGCATGATATGAAGGCACCACCCACAAGTGGACAGCTGCAGCACTATAGCCCCTTTCCAGGACATCCATGAAGGACAGCGGTGAAGGGAAATCTTCCCAGTGGGCAGAACTTCAAGCAGCGTACCTTGTTGTGCACTTTGCTTGGAAGGAGAAGAGGCCAGATGTGCGATGCGATTATGTACCGATTCATGGGCTGTAGCCAATGGTTTGGCTGGATGGTCAGGGACTTGGAAGAAGTATGATTGGAAAATTGGTGACAAAGAAATTTGGGGAAGAGGTATGTGGATTGAGCTTTCTGAGTGGTCAAAAACTGTGAGCCTGGGTGCTAGCCACAATCTGATAATGCCTCCTCATGATCTAAACTGTACGATAAAGAGAGAAGGGTTCACAGACCAGGTTTATACACGAGGGGCACTCCAGTCTTGGGGTTGGACTTCTGTAAAAAGCCAGATGTAAATATTTGAGGCTTTGTGGGCCACATACATGCTTCATCTCACCTGTTCAACTTTGCTGTCCTAGCAGGAAAGTAGCCATAGATGATACATAAATGAATGGGTCTGGCTGTGTTCCAATAAAACTTTATATACAAAAAGAAGCAAGGGGCCAGATTTGGCCTATGGGCCATAGTTTGCCAACCCCTGTACTAGAAAATGAATACAGTTGTTTTGGAGGAGTAGAATTCTAGGATGGACATGAGACTGTATTTCTCACTGTCATTTTTGTAAAAACATTTGATTTTATAAAAGAAAGTTTATAACTTTAAAAATAATTAAAACAAAAAAATCTAAGATAACTGTCGAAAAGATAGAAATACAAAACTTCCAAGTTAGTTGAGGGAAAATAGAGGAAATAATGATAGGTTGATCCAAAACAAGGCAAGAAAAGAGAAAAAAACGCATGAGACACACAAAACAACACAATAGGAAACACATACATTTTAGTTGTCCTGGTAATTATAAACCAACAAAATCCTCCAATTAAAAGATAGACAAACCCCCAATCCAGCCATACACGATTGAAAGAGACACATCTAAAGCTAAGGAGATGAAAAGTTTCAAAGAAAAAGAATGGAAAAAATAGACACAGCAAATGCTGAGTAGCTAGTACTCATGTCAGGCTCAACAGGATTTAAGGCAAAAAGCCTTGTTAAGTCAGAAACGGTGACTACACAGTTTCACGAAGTGAAAGATATATTAACTTCATATGTGTATCTTACTACAATATTAAATTTATGAAACTAATTTTATAATTCATACCTAAATTTGCGTTCACATAGTAATATCGCCTTAAATAGGTAAATTAGGTAAGATTTGATGTAACTACAAGAATGGGTGATTCTTTAGTGCAAGATTTTAGCATACACACTTCAGTACATGATTTTAAGAAATCATTTTCTTGATCTTTCCAAATCTTTCATTCTTTTGAGATCAAGAGAATGGAAAAAGAGCCAATATGTAGAAGACTTGATTGATCTAGTGGATGTAGATAGACACCATCACTCAGCATTTGGTGATTGAGCCTATTCCGCAGCACACAGGGCTTATTTATAAAATCGATCAAGTGTTAGCCCCAAAGCAAGCCCAGCAAATATCAAAGAAAGAACCACATAAATAATGGCATAAACCATGGTTTCTGACAACACAGTTAAGTTAGAAATCAATAATTTTAAAAAAGTAACTAAAAACTCATGTCTGGAAATTAAAAAAATTTCTAAATGACTTATAAGTCAATGAAAAAGTCATAATGGAAATGAGAAAATACACAGAAATAAATGATAATAACTGCTTAGAAAACCTTCCACAAACAATCCTGGACTGAGGCCAAGGTCAGCTGTGGGGTCATTCCTGGTGGGGGGTCTTGACGGGGAACAGAGGGCTCTGCCGCCCTGGAGGGAGGGGGTCCAGGGCCCGTTTCCACACTGGAGTGGGTGGAGGCAGGCTTTGCTGAGATCCATGGCACCGTGGGGCACTCCCGAGGCACCTGGCTGGGCAGGGAGGGTCTCTCTGGGATGGGTGGGCTCAGGCCCTTTGGCACGACCCAGAAGAAGAGAGGCCTCCTCCTACCCCACAGCTGGGGGTGTGTGTGGGGTCAGCCTTGTTTTATGAAAGCCTGGAAAGCAGGTGTTTTGAGCCCAGCAGGCTCTGAACAGAGCTTCCCTTGGGCTCTGGGTTCCTCAGGGTGAGTGAGCCTTTCCCTCCCCCACTGCCCACCGCCCATGGAGGTCGCAGGACCCCTCTGTCCCAGGGGAGACCCTAGAGGGCCAGGGGCTGCGGTCTGGGCAGCAGCCACACTGTACAGTGGCCAGCCATGCAGCCCCGGGCCGGGACGCCCTGCACATCCACAGGCAGCACCCACTTCTGCTTCACAGACACAGCCTCCCGCAGGGGTGGAGGGATGGTCCCAGGCAGTGCGCAGGGCTCCAGACATGAGGGGGCATTCTAGTAACACAGGCTGAGGCGCCCCATTGTTGGACCTGGGGTGCGAGGTCCGCCATGAGCTCTGAGTCCGGTGCCTGCCACGGTGGGAGCGCCCTACGCACCTGCCCCGGGGGTGAGCATTGCTCCCCGATGTGTGCGCGCTGCCCGGTCTCAGAGGGACCAGGGCTGTGCCTGCGGAGGGGCTGGCAGGGGCGGCTGGAAGGTGACCAGGTCTACGGGTGCCTGGGAGCCCCTGAACCAAGAGGGGAGATCAAGGGAGGGGCCGGCGTGGGGGCGGGGGGAGTGTTCCCGGGACAGCCGGGGGCGGGGGGAGTGTTCCCGGGACAGCCCGAGGTTCCAGCGAGCAGCCCTGGCCACGCCTTTGTCTCCGTGGGACCCCAGACTGGCCCCTTCCCGCCGTGGTCCCGTGACCTGACCCGGCCTTGAGCGGGGCGGGGGCGGCAGGACCCTCAGGTCTCTCCGCAGGATGGCAGCGGGGGAGTGAGGCAGCCAGGTGAGCCCGGGCGGCGGGAGGGACACGGACGCCGGTGGTCCCCAGCCGGGGCTGCGCGGCCAGGCAGGGAGGGGGTGGGCGGAGGGGCGGGCGACGGGTCTGCGCCCCCCACCCTCCGGGAGTCCGGCGGAGGCGGAGGCGGAGGCGGAGGCGGGCGGGTGCGGAGCTGCAGAAGCAGCGCGCGGGAGTCGGGGCCGGGGCAGAGCTTTCTGGAAGGGACCGCGGGCTCCCTGCAGGTCAGTGCCCCTCCCGCCGCCTCTGAGTCCGCAGCTCGGCCCCGGGAGCCCCTGGGTGCCCAGTGCAGACCCACCTGCCCCATCTGACGGGCGGGCTCGGGCTGGGGGCAGGCGGACCCTGCAGCAGGTGCAGCGGGGCGAGCGCGGAGAGCGGGCGCGGGGACAGGCGGGGGCGGGGCACCCGCACTCACCTCTGCGGTCGGCGTAGAGGACACCCAAGGCCACCAGGGCAGCGGTCACCAGCAGCAGCAGCAGCAGCAGCCCCCCCTCCAGGAACCCCGGGCGCTTCTGCCCTGCACGGCCAGCGCTCTCCACCATCCCCACGGGGCCTTCGGACTTCCCCATCAGCAGGGCTCTGGACGGGAGAGCACCGCGGAGGAACCTGCAGGCCCAGGGCAGGGGAGAGGGGAGAGGGGCGTGGAGCTCCCCGAGCCCGGCCCGAGGCTGGAAGGGCCGGATGCTGGCTGGGAGCGGGCGCTGGGTGCCTTTGGAACACTCTTCCCGTCTCCCTCTCCAAGCTCACAACCCTGGGTGACTGGGTCCCGGGACTTTCCACACTACCCCTGGGCCGGAATCTCTGAGTGCATGGAGGTTCTAGGACTGGGATGCTCCCAGCTTGGGGTCGCAAGCTGGACCCAGGAGGCTCAGCTCCTGTGCTGTCAAGGGACTCCTGTAGTGGAGCCCCCCTGGGCTGCTCATGCTGGGTGTCTTGGAGCTGTGGGCCTGAGCGCTAGGTCAGGGACGCTGTCGGGGAGGCCACTTGGGCTTCTGGGCTCCCAGCCCACCTTTCCTGTTGAAGCCCAGAAGCCAGTGATGGGCGACACCAGAACAGTAGGTACCCACACAGGCGGTGACTACGTGGGCCAGGAAGGGATCTGCAGGGCCAGGCAGGCTTGAGTCTCAACCCTGGCAGCCACCTGGCTGGTGTGCAGCTCTGGTCGTCCCCTGACCCTGTTACTATGGAGGGGACACCTTCTGGAGCCAGCAGGGCAGTGGGCAGCACTTGAAGACACACACGGCTGGGCACAGGCTGCTGCTGTAGGCAGGACAGGGAGCTGGGCAGGAAGGGTTGGGGCACAGGACACTGGACTCAGGAGGCTCCCAAGTCTGCGTGCTCCAGTGTGCGTGTATGTGTGGGAGTGTGAACCTGAGTGTACACATGTGTGCAAATGAGTGTGTGCATGTAGTTGGGCGTGTGCATGTGTATGACTGTGCGTGTGTGCATATGTTCTGATGTATGATCGTGTACACACACGTGTGCACATGTTCTGGTGTGTGCATGTGCATGACTGCATGAGCGTGAACGTGTGTGTGCGCTCTGGTGTGTGCATGTGTGTGTGTGCACGTGTGTGCGTGTGCTCTCGTGTGTGCGTGTGCATGATTGCGTGGATATGCACTGTCTACGCTCATGTGTGCATGTGTGTGACTGTGAGTGAGTGTGCACGTGTGTGTCCTCGTGTGTGCATGTGTGTGACTGCACGTGTGTGCCTGTGCTCGCGTGTGTGCGTGTGCATGATTATGTGTGCGGATATGCACGTGTGTGCGTGTACACTCGTGTGTGCACGTGTGTGACTGTGTGATTGTGCATGTGTGCGTGTGCTCTCATGTGTGCATGTGCATTATGTGGATATGCACGTGTGTGCCTGAGTGTGCACGTGTGTCCTCTCGTGTGTGCGTGTGCATGATTATGTGCGTGGATATGCACCTGTGTGCGTGTACTCTCGTGTGTGCATGTGTGTGACTGTGCATTGTGTGCGTGTGCTCTTGTGTGTGCATGTGCATGATTGTGTGCGTGGATATGCACGTGTGTGCGTGTACGCTCGTGTGTGCACGTGTGTGACTGTGATTGTGCACCTGTGCGTGTGCGCTCATGTGCATGTGCATGATTGTGTGTGTGGGTGTGCACGTGTGTGCGTGTGCTCTGGTGTGTGGCTGTGCATGTCTGTGTGTGTGTGCACATATGTGAGCACATGCATGGATGTGCACATCCCTCGCTGGCACTCGGAGCCCTGCTGGGAAGTTGCCCGGTCCTAGGGAAGCGGCTGGGTGCTTTGGCCTTCCAGCACTTTCAGTCGTCACACGCAATCACACACCTGCTGTGCTGAGCCCCAGCTTAGCCCTGTACCAGGCAGGGCGGATAATGTGGGAGCAGCGAAAGGAAGCCAGGCCCAGTCCTGCCTGTGGGTGGGTCAGGGACTGGCTGCTGAGACTGCCAGCACCTGGGCTAAATGTGCTTCCGCCCCCCTGTACCCCACCGCCCCCCTGCTGTGGACTTTGCCTGAGTTCTGTCCCTGACTCCCTGGGAGATCCTAGATGTCCCTTAGCCTGTCTGGGCAACACCCTGCAAAGGTGGCTGGGCCAGCTCATTTCAGCGACTCCTCCAGAGATCCCTGACCTCTGGCTGTGTGAGGAGCGGGGACGGGGACCTGGACCTCACTCCTCTCCTCCAGGTCCCTCGCTCCTCCCTTCCTGTCCCCTCAGCCACCTCTCTCAGTCCCTGGCTCTGTGAACCGCAGCGTTCATGCATCCACACACCCTCAGATGCTTCCTTTGACGCCCTCTGCTGTGCCCCTAGACACCCCTATCCCGCCACTGGCTGAAGCTGGACTTTGGAGCCATCTGCCTCCCTTGCCTGCGTCCACACCCCGCGCCAGTCCTCAGCCTCCAATCCCATCTCAGTCGGACCCTTTCTCATTCCTGCCACTCGCTGCCTGTTCCAGGCCCCACCAATCACCTCCCCCTGAGGGGTCTGTCTCACCCACTGATCCCCACCACAGGGGCCCAGGGGCCTGTAACTAGAATCAGAGGCCGTCACTCCCTGGCCCCTGGTAGCCAAACCCTTGGAGGAAGAGCCGGGCCTTGCCCTGATGTCAGGACCCTCTTTGGCCCTCCTCCCCTCTCACTATGCCCTCCCCTTACCCTCAGGCAGGCCCACCAGGTTTCTCCCCCCACCCTCCCCACCCACCCAGGCAGGCCTCCCAGATTCCTGCCAAGCTCCCCTTCCCAGTGGGGCCTTCCTTGGCTCGGCCTCGGGTTCAACTCGGGGAGCCCCAGCCCCTCCCCTGCTCTGTGTCTCTCCAGGGACTCCCAGCTCCACCTCCACATCTCCTCGATACTTCTGCAGCCCCCTGGGAACGTCAGCTCCACGGGCAGGGGCACCCTCTGTGGGGGCCGCTTCACCTAGACTGGCACCCCCACCCCAGAGACCTCGGTCATTATCTGTTGGGTGAATGAATGAATGAATGATGAATGAATGGATCAATCATTTGGACAAGTCTGAGCTCAGCTTCCACGAACTTCTTTCTTTGGTCAGAATTAATGAATCTGCTCCTGCGTCCTGAATTCATTCTGTCCTGCAGGTATCCACAGACGGCTCCATGTGCCCCACGGCACACACAAAATAAACACCTTCAAATTGAGCCAAGTACCCGGGGCAGGTGTGGAGTGTCTGCTGAGGCGAAGGCACTGCGGCTCCCTGGGGACACTCGTGGCCTCTCCAGGTTACTACAGATGGGGGACAGCGGGTCCTTTGGGTAAGATAAACCGTATGCCAGAGGGGGCTGCCTGCCCTGGCACAGGCGAGACTGCACACAGGACGCCCCGCCCAGCCTCCTGAGAAAGGGGCTGAGCGCCTGGAGAGGGTTTCAAGGCCCAGGAGAGGGCCTGGAGAGGGTTTCAAGGCCCAGGAAAGCAGGCCGGGTACCTTCCTTCAGCACAACTCACCTTTGCTCACTCAGGAGTGGCTGCCGCCCACAGTCAGGCCCCTGGAGACTGGGTCCCAGTGGGTTGGAGTTGGGGTGAGCTGGGCCAAGTGGGTGGATTTCCAGGGACTGGGATGGGAGAGCAGTGGCTTGGGGCTGAGTTGAGGCTGCCTGAAGGCTTCCGGGCCTCCTTTGTGATGCAGGCATGGGCTCCCTGGAGGCGGTGACTCCTGCTCACAGTCAGGAGGTTCCACTGGGGGTGTGGCATGGGGGGAGGGGCTGAGGGCAGCTTCTTGGCACCCGGGCTGCCCTGCCTCATGGGTGCCCTTCTCAGGGCCTCTGGCCCCGCCTCCCAAGCCGCCCTCCTTCCTTGCTTCTGTCTCCTGACCTTTCAGTCCAAAGGGGCCCCAGGGGCTGCTGGGAGGAAGGTCAGGCCCTTGTCCTACTCCACACCCTCTGCTCTGCCCCTAACCACCCGGTGGGGGGTTACAAAGGCCCCACCCTGGGTGTTCTTTCTCTTCAATCTCCAAGGAGGATGGTGGGTTCTGGGGATCTTGCCAAGGTGCAAGGGGAAGGGGTGGTCCTGAAGGGGGTGGGCGCTGGCTGCCAGGAGGGTCCCACCCAGAGATACTAGCCTGGGTTTGGCTGCTTCCCTCTGCCCACAGAAAACTCATGAGGTTCAGACCTCAAGCTACAGAGGGTGGGCAGCCCTGGCCGGGGAGCTGGCAGAAGGGCTCTGTGGCTTCTGAAGGGTTCGCAGTGATCAGAGTGTGAGCCCTGCACCCAGCCCTGCTTGCGGACGGGGGTTCTGGGCAGAGCAGTCTCTGTCTGATTCTCCAGGCCTGATGAGGTTTCTAGCTTCTGTTTCAGAATCCCCAGAACGAGTCCTCCTGCCCAGGCCTTGGGCATGTGTCAGGGCATCTGGGCAGGGCTGGGCCACAGAGCTAGGGGTCCCACGGCAAACTGCTCCTCACGGCCGCCCCGGCCAGGTCTCCCACGCTGAGTGCTGTTGGAAGCTTTGTCTATGGCCCTTTAGGTTGGCCAGGCCCTGGGAGGAGAAAGGCTTCGAGCTGCAGCCAGGCTGGGATCAGATCCCAGACACCACCCTGAGCCCGGGAAGTCTCTCCCTGGGGCCCGCTGGCTGTCCTAGCAGCCCCCTGCCATCACGCCCAGCAACCAGCCCAGGAGCTGCAGTCTGGCCTCAGGCTGCCTGGGTTGCTGGCCCAAATGGAAACAATGTCAAGGCCAGCCAAGCAGGAAGCTGGGACCGCCCTTTCTGGGGAGCTGGGAGTGGGCCAGGGTCCAGCCTGGCTGGAGGCTCCTGCTATGGGGAGAGGCCAGAGCCTTTCCGAGCCCACCTGCCCGACAGCCCTGGTGCCAGCAGGCCCTTTCTGGATGTCACAGTGTTCTTGTCTCTAAGGTACAAATCCACAGAGGGAGAAACAGATGCAGGGGCCTGGCCTACTCTCAGCAGGGGCTCCCTGGACTCTGAACCGACTCCCCAAGGCTGGCCCTGTGCATGCTCCTCCTTCCCGAACCCCAGGCCTGTCCAGCCCAGCAGCCCCCAGCCTGGCCCAAGGCCACCTGGTGACCTGGGCTGCCAAACTTGGGACCCCTTATTCCCAGGTTCTCCCTACTTCTAGGTGACAGCAGGAGGCTTGGGTCCTAGCCTGGCACCTGCCAGACAAGAGAAACTGGGAAAGGAGGCTAAAGGCCAAGGAGGCTGCAGACCCCGAGACCTACCCCGGTCACTGGACACTCACAGATTTGCAGGTGCCCAGGGCAGTGCAACCCAGCCGCCCCAAACACCTGCACAGATGACTCTCTCCCCAGACACCCGCACAGACCGTCCCCCCAGACACCCACACAGACCATCCCCCCAGACACCCACACAGACCATCCCCCCAGACACCCACACAGACCATCCCCCCAGACACCTGCACAGACCATCCCCCGCAAATACCTGCATGGATTGTCCCCCCAGACACCCGCATAGCCAGAGCCCAGCACCCCGGAGGTGGACATTAATCCCATCTCCTAGGGAGATTGGGGGAAAATGGGTGTTCCCTGCCCCTCCTACTCTCTGGGTTGCTGTGGGATGTGGAGATCCAAGGAGCAGCCCCAGCTCAGGGGTCCAAGGAGGCAGGTGGGACGGGGGTCAGGGAAGTGCTTCCTGCAGCAGCCCTGGGGCCAGGGTGGGCCTTGAGGGCACTAGCCTTTGTCCACACTGCTGTGGGGCTGCCCTCACCCAGCTTGCCGTGTCCACCCTGCCTTGGGGGCTGCCCTCAGGCCCTGGAGACGCCTGCCTGTGACTGCCCCACACTCTCAGGCCAGGCTACTGGTGGCAGGTCCTGTGCTTTGGTGCACCCCAGACGTGCCCAACGGGCATTTCCTCTGCCCATTGGGAGCAGGGCCTCTCCCTCAGGTCTGCCCAGCTACGCTCTGGGCAGGAATGAGGTGCCCCACTTAGAGAAGATGCACAGGTCAGAAGAGGCTCACCAGCATTTCTGGGTGAGCCTCTTTCCGGCTGCTGGGACGACAGCCGGGCCTCTGGGGTCCCCACCTTCCTTGTCAGCTGCCTCCTGAAGTCAGGCCCTGGGTATCCAGGGCAGGAGGGAAGGGGCCCAGTGGTCCCGCTGCCCCAAAATCTGTGTCATTGAGCCACCAGCCCATCCCCAGTAGCTGGAGCCTCTGCCTCCTCACTTGTGAATTCCAAAAATCTGAGACAGGTCTCAGCCAATTTGGGAAGTTTATTTTGCCAAAATTAAGGATGCACACCTGTGACACAGCCTCAGGAGGTCCTGACATGTGCCCAGGGTGGTCAGAGGACAGCTTGGTTTTATACATTTTAGGGAGATATGAGACATCAATCAACACATGTAAGATAGAGTTACATTCTTTTGAGTTTCTGATGAGCCTTTCCAAAGAAGGCAATCAGATATGCATCTATCTCAGCGAGCGGGGGAATGACTTTGAATGGAATTGGAGGCAGGCTTGCCCTAAGCAGTTCCCAGCTTGACTTTTCCCTTTGGCTTAGTGATTTTGGGGCCCCAAGATTTATTTTCCTTTTACTCTCCTAAAAAGGTTTTTTTTTTTTCTTTTTTTTCCAGATTGATCGCAGAGTTGAACAACAGAGAATGTGTGCACAGTGCCAGGCACAGGTGTGGTCAAGATTCACCTGGGAGAGGAAGTGGGCAGGGGCAGAGGAGTGTGCCCACCTGAGCTGAAAGGCTGCATGGCAGGTGACCATTATCACCAGTGTCGCCAGCCAGGTCACCTCTCTGAATTTTGTGGTTGCAACCTCCATGATTCCCTAGAGCTGTTTTTACCCAGAACTAATGAAAAATTCTGCACATTAAATTCATGCTATTAGAATCACTGTTGTGGTTTCCATCTCCCAAGTAGACCCCAACTGATACATAAATTCATACTAGGAGGGGGTCCCCAGAGACAGGCCCTCAAAGTGACACAGTCAGGTACCTCTTTGGTCACTTTGCCAGCCAGGTACCTCTGGCTGCTGACACCCCCCCTCCCCAGGCCTCTCTTGGCCATGCTACCTGCCGCAGGAGGTGGCCCACCCACTCAGCCTGCCTGGGCCACACCTGGCTGTTCACCAGCTCAGCCTGTGGCTGGGCTGGGCATGTTCCAGCCTGCTTGTGTTATAGCTTGTACCCATGTATGGCAGTTCCCAAGTTCTTGTCCCGTGTCCAAGAAGAATGAGGAGATGCTGCCAATCGAAGTGTGAGAAGGGCAGAGAAGAATTTTATTGAGAGACGGAACAGCTCTCAGCAGAGAGGGGATGCACGGGTGGTTCCCGACCTGAAGTCAGGTGGTTTCTCTCCTAGTGTGGCTGGGTCCGGGGCATTTATGGGCTCAGAATGGGGGAGTGCATGCTGATTGGCTTCTGATTATGCAAAAAAGGCTTAAACAAAGGTACCACTCAAAGGTGGGCATGCCAGTGTAGAAAATGAATTAGGAAAAGATAGGTACATGTAAAATAGGTGAAGGGTGGGGATCAATCAGAGGAAAGCAGCCAAATGGGAAGATGGGTTCTCAATCCAGGCTGAGGATTTAATTTGTAGCTTGGCTTTCAGGCTTTAAACTGTCTTTGGCTCGGAGGTGGGGTTTCACTGGGAACCTGTCCCTGTCTGCCTAGGATTTGTCTGCCTCCTGTCACTATCAAAAGGTGGGGTCCGGGGATTAGGTTAGTGTGGTTGTTGCTTGGGCTGGGCTGCAGGCCGATCTCCTGGCCAGTGGGAAGGGGAGGCTGTTGGCCCACAGTGTTGTTGGGGGAGCTTCACAGTTAACCAAGCCATCCCCCATGCTGGCTGTGAGGCACCAGCAGAATTGAGGGCCTCGGGAACCCACGTGCTGCTGTGTGAGGCTGTCACGGCCACGAGGATGACCACAACCACGAGGGCTGTGGGGGGTCCCCTGAGTGTCCAGCAGCACTAACAGGAAGGAACCACACGTTCAGGTCTCTAAACTCAGTTTAAGTCATAGACAGAGAATCAGGACTGCCATGGCCATGGAAGAGTCCCTTGTTCCTGAGAGCCTCGGGGCTGCTGCTGCTACAACTCGGATGCACAGTTTAACTCTGAGTTGTGTGACTGCTGTGTGGCTCACACTCACAGCCTCACTACTGAAACGTGGGCACTGAGTGGGAAGGAACTGGATGCTGAAGCTTGGCATGGGGATGTCTGGTTGGGCTCAGATGAAGCTGAGAATTGTGAACCCCCTGGTTCTCTGAGCCTCTCCTTCCAGGGGAAGCAGCTTGTCCTCCAAGATCTGAGAGTAGCCTTTATTTATTTTTTTTGTTCTGCTTGAAAATGCTGTGATAAGCTTACCTGGCCAGGTGCCTAGAAATGATGCTCATTTTATTTAACCACCATAGCCACCCTGTTGCCTCTAGAACCTCAGTGTACTCCCAGGGAGGGGAAGGGTCAAGTACAAAGCCTGACTCAGGAAGGAACCACTTTCACACCAAAATGCTCGTAAGATGTTACAAATTCACACACGGAGACCTGGGAACCGTGTGGGAATGGAGGGTAGGGTATTAATGCAGCTGGACCGGCTTGGCTTTATTGATGCAGGTACACTTACTAGAGATTCTGAATTTAATGCGCTAGCTCACATTAGCTGCTGGAAATGACTCTACCAGTTTACTTGGTTGAATGAAATCTGGATTTGCTGGCGGTCTACAGTTAATGAAGGGGAGATGCTGGAATGTCCCTGGTGTAACGTCGAGGCAGGAATCGTGCAAAGCAAGGGCCACCCTCCGTCCCAGCCTGATTTCTCTCCACCTCCAGCTGAGCACTGAGGAAGACGCAGGCCGGGGGCTGCCCAGGGAAGTGGTGGATCTGCAGACAGCGTGAGCTCCTGGAGCGTCAGGACCCAGAGCAGCTGTGGACATGCCCCTCCAGGCGGGACACCCAGGCCTCAGGGACGAGTGCGTCCATGCCTTAAGGGCTGCTGGTTGTGGGTGTCTGCTTGGTCCTGGAGAAACTACCTCAGGAAAAGCCAGGGCTGGACCCCAGCAGGGATGGGATAAGGGGAACCGAGACTCACCCACTGTGCTCAGGGCAGAGGTGGTGGGCCGCGGGAACGGGCATGTCTTTGTCTATCTGGACTGCCCCAACAGAATAGCAGAGACAGGTGGTTCATCAACAGATACTTATTTCTCACAGTTCTGGAGGCTGGAAGCCCAAGATGAAGGTGCCAGCTCGCTCTCTAGTGAGGATCCCTTCCTGGTTCACAGACAGCTTCTCACTGGGTCTCCACATGGTGGAGGGGCTTGGGAGAACTCTGGGGTCTCTTTTATAAGGACACTAATCCCACTCATGAGGTTCCACCCCTGGTCATCTCCCAAAAGCCCCACTTCTGATACCATAACCTTGGGGGTTAGGATCGCAACACATAAAGTTTGGGGGAATGCAGACATTCAGAGCCCAGCAAGGAGCCAGGCCAAAGGCTGATGAGAGATACCTGCTGGGTGAGCTGGTGGTAGAGGGGGCAGCCCCCTGGTGGGGGAGAAACACAGCGATCCTGAGGTCCAGGAGGAGCCTCAGCGGGGCTGGCATCTACACTCAGCCTTGCACGGATGGATGGGGCAGGACATCCCAGGCGAGGAGGACGGTAGGAGCAGGGAACGTGGTGGGGAAGGGCACCCCTAGGGGACGCCTCCCCACTGCCTCCACCTGGCCCCGACATTGGAGCAGGCCCTTCTGCTGTGACCAGGCTCTCTGGACCAGCCCTTGCCTCCTCTGCCTCAGTGCCGACTGGCCCACCTGACCCGAGGAACTTGCGTGTCCCTGAACTTAGCTCTTGGGCTGCTGACAGGTGTTTGTTGAGTCCTTGAGCACACGGGTGAAGACAGGGAGGGAAGGGTGGATGGGGAGCTGGCAGGCGGAAGATGGATCAAATTGGTGCCTGCGCTGGGGAACCCCGGAAGAGGGGGACTGCGTGAAGATTCCGAGCGGGGAAGGCGAGGAGCGGGGCTGAAGGTCCCTGTCAGGGCCCTCTCCCACTGTGGGCTGCCCATCCCCGAGGTACTCAAGGTGGGAGGCACTGACCCTTTACCCAGACCCCTGTGGCCAGAGACACATAGGCGGTGCCAGCTGATGAAGGTGCATGGGGGTTGAGGAGTGGGTGAGGCCTGAGGAGGAGGGGGGCTACCCAGCCCTGCACCTGCCGCCTGGGGGCCCCACTTCCATGCAGGGCGAGGAATAGGGCCCCTCCCTGCCTGACCCCCTGGACTGGGGTTCGTCAGATGATCCCAGAAGCGAAGTGGGTGGAGAGGCAGGGGGTCTATCTGTGGGTTCAAGACCATGGAAGGAAGCGGCAGAGAAGGGGACAGAAATGGGACAAATGCAAGTGCCCAGGAGGAGAGAGAAGCCAGGAGGGGGGGTCGTGGCCCTGTCTCCCCAGGGTGAAGTCAGGCAGGGCTTGGGGGCACGTTTTGCACCGAGTCAGCTCACCCAGCATGTCTCTCGCCCATGGCCATGAGAGAAAGCCCCGGGCTGAGGCCTCAGTCTGTGACACTCACAGTGATGGGCAAAGGCTGGCTGCCTCTGCCCCACCCAGAAGTCCCCAAGCTCACTGGCAGCTGCAAGGCCTGGGGACATTTAACGCACGTATAGGAACAAGCTGTTCTCTCGCTCTGTGGAAGCACTGATACCTCCCAGCAGCTTCGGGAGACAGGTCTGGTGGGAGCCTGGGGACTGTGCTCATCAGGGCCCCTCGGTGGTCCCTCTGCTTGGAAGGGAGGGGCCTGTGGAGGAGGGAGGAAGTTTACCCCCAGCACACTGGATTCTCGATGAAGGGCCCCCATGAAAGCACCCTGAAAGGTCAGCTTGGGGTATGGGCTGGCTGGGCCCATTTGGGAGCTCTGTCTCTGGAGAGGGCTCAGGCTCTACTGGAGGCTGGCCCAAGGCTCAGGGTCCAAGCAAAACGCAGCTTCACACCCAGGGAGGGGCTTCTGGGGCTGGTACCATCTCCCCAAGGGCCCCAGGAGTCTGGCCTCAAACCTGTCCAACCTGTAGGATCCCAGGCCAGGGACGAGACCTGGGGCTGCTTCTTCAAGGTCTGAGCCCCAGGTGTGGGCCAAGAGGGCCCCAACTGCAGGGACCAGGTTGCTGGTGGTAGAAGGGACTGTGAAGCTTCTAGGATGGTCCCTTCATGCAAGTAGGAAGCTGTCCCCTGTCCTTCCCAAGGCAGAGGTGTGAGGCTGGCTGTCCAACACTGACTCATGCTGGGGCAGGGAAGCGGGGTGTGGGGAGGGCAGGGAAGGGGGGTGTGGGGAGGGCTGGGAAGGGAGGTATGGGGAGGGCTGGGAAGGGAGGTATGGGGAGGGCTGGGAAGGTGGTGTGGGGAGGGCTGGGAAGGGGGAGGGCTGGGAAGGGGTGTGTGGGGAGGGTGGGAAGGGGGGCTGTGGGGAGGGTTGGGAAGGGGGGTTGTGGGGAGGGTTGGGAAGGGGTGTGTGGGGAGGGCTGGGAAGGGGGTGTGGAGAGGGCAGGGCAGGTACCTCCCCGATTTAGGGAGCTGGGTACACCCCTGGGCCTGGACATCAGGTGCAGATGCTAGGGTGGCCCCGTGATTAGGGCTGGGAGAGGGTCAGGCCCAGTCACTGTAGCCAGCAGCCTGAGGATGCCTCCCTCCGGATTCTGGCCTTCAGTCTCTTCAGGCCACGGTGGTCGGGGTCCACCAGGAGGCCGCTCTCTACCGCCGTCCAGGCCTCTGCGTGACGCTGCTCCTCCAGGCAGCACTGCCCGCGGAGAAGGAACATGCGTGCAGTGGGGGCCCGGCCTGGCTGCCTGCACAGGCTGTTCTGGGCCAAGGAGGGCGCCAGCTTCAGGGCCTGGGCAAAGGCCCCTGCGGCCGCCGCCTCATCCCCCAGGCTCAGCAGCAGGCGACCCTGACGGCAGAAGTCCTCTGCCCGCCTTGGGAGGTCACCATCCCCCAGCGCCTCCTGGAGCACATGGTCCAGGTCCCTAAGGGCCCGGCCAAACTCCTGCAGCTCGGCCAGGCAGGTGGCCCGCAGACGCAGGTGACAGGCACTGCTGCCACTGGCCAGGACAGACAGCGAACAGTAGCCCAGCGCCTGCCTGGGTTGCCCTGCGTCCAGGAGGGTGCCGGCTTCCTGGGCCGCCGCCTGCACAGAGGACACAGAGAGAGGCAGGGAGAGTGGGGTCAGCCCCAAAAGCCCGGCCGCCCCTGCCCTGCAGAGGTCCTCTGCACAGCCAGCTTCTGCTGGCTCCCTGGGGATGGCGGGGCCCTGGGCTGCACAGGAGCTGCCCGCTGCTTCTGGAGGGGCTGGCTGACCATGGGCAAGGGCAGGAAGGGGGACCCAGGGTAGAGGACCCCTCCCTGCAATTCCCACTGCCCTGGAACCTGCCAAAGTGCTGTTCCGACCCTTGGCCCAAGGCCTGGCATCCTTGCCCACTGCTCTTCTCCCTGGGCCTCGGATCAGGGACCTGGATTTACCTCCTCATGGTCCCCTCCTGGCAGCCCTACCGCCCCACCGGCTGGGCCCAGGTTCCCTTGCCTGGGTGACCACACCGGCCTCCTCCCTCGGTCCCTCTGGGCCAAGTCACCTCTCCATCGGGCCCTCTGAGGGGGCTGCTGCCCAGCCCTTCCACTCTGCCCACCTTCTGAAGGCTGCTCCAGGCCTCTGAGCACGTGCACCCTAGCCCCTCTCCCTGGGGCTGCTGGACGGAGGGCACAGCCTGTGCTGTGGGCTGCTGCTGGCCAGGCCTGCCTGCCCCCCCCACTCCTCCCGGGCACTTTCCTGAGCCCACCCAGGCCCAATCGCCTCATCTCTGACCCAGTTTTTTCACAGAGTCAACCACGACCAGAAATCCGCTCGCCTCGCTGGGCTCCTCCTCCGCTCAAGAACCTGCAGGGGTTCCCCGCTGCCTGAGGAACACGCCAAGGTGCAGGCCCCGCCTTTCTCGCTGGCGCTGCCTCTCTTCCAGCAGCCCGGCGGTCCTCGACGCTACCTCCCCCGGGGGGCGCAGCGCACCCAGGACCCCGCCAGGCTTGGCCGCACGGGGCGAAGCCGAGGCCCACGCCCGGGGTCCGTGCAGGGAGCGAGGGGGTCCCACGGCCCCGGCTTTGCTGCTGGGCTCCCGCAGGGCACAGTGTGGCCTCTTCTGCCAGCTGTGAGCGGCGCTGAGCAGGGCAGGGGCTCGAAACCCCGTCCCTCGCCTGCGGTGCGGCCCGCGGGACCGCCCCTCTCCGGGCGGAGGCACCTGACCCCGACCCGTAGTTCACGGCCCGGGGTGGTAGTGAAGCCTCGGCCCGCGCAGGACCCGCACATTTGGGCCGGGTCCATGGCAGCAGGAGGGCGAGGCCCCGAGCAGCTGTCGGACCCCGGGAGCCCCCAGGCCGCCCCAGTGGGGAAGGGCGCTCAATCCGACCCCAGACTCCCCTGAGCCCGCGGCTCGGGCCGCGCAGGCGCAGTGCCACCCGGAGGGGGCCGCCTGCCGAGGGGCGGGGCGCAGGAAGCGGGGCGAAACCACTGTTGGCTCATTTCCGGGTGGGTCCCCGTCTCCAGGCAACCATTTCGCGTCCTGCAGATTCTTGCCTGTGCCGGGAGCCGCCTCCTGGCGCCGCAGCCCAGCCGTATTCTGCAGCCTCGGAGACCCGCGTCCAGCCCCGCCTCCGGGCTCGGTGACCCCCGTTCAGGAGACCCCATCTAGCCGCCTCCTCTGGGCTCCGGGACCATGGCCCCAGCCAGGCTTCCCGCCCCCTGCCAGGCCCTGCTCCCACCTCGAAGACCCCAGCACAGACCCCTCCTCCTGGCTTGGAAACGCCCAGTCCCTCTGGGAGCTCTGAGACCCCACCCCGCCCAGCCCGGCCGCCTCCTCTAGGTCCCGATAACCCAATCTCAGCGTTGCTCTTCAGCTCGGGGGGGGGCAGCGGCGCCCCCTCTGCAGCACCGAACTGCCCCTTACACTGGTGTAGCCCCGACTCCGCCATGAGCTCCCTGTTCTTCCTAGTGTGGTTTCTGTTTTCCTAAGTGGCCCCGGAGTGCTAGAACCCGCTGGTGTCAGGAAGCATTAAGGAGGTGAAATCCTGCCCAGGCCCCACTGGGGTGTAGTTCTGCCTCTGGGACCCCAAAGCCTGCTGTGCTCTTGGCCTCCCAGCCTGCCTTGTCCCCACGTGCCTTCTCCCGGCCTGCCATGGGTTTGGGGTGGGCTTCCTGCCGGGCAAGGTGCCCCTGGCTGGCTCAGTCTGGCCCTGAGGGCAAGGTCCTCTTCCCTCTCTTGCACCCAAGTCACCTGTGGCTTATACTTCCCATACAAAGAGGCTGAGAGGTCGGTGGGGTTGTAGGGCTAAGGTGGCCAGAGACCGTCTTCCTGGGCCAGAAGTGGGTGCCTCCCACCCCACCCCAAACCTAACTGAAATCAACCCAACCGCAGAGAGTGAAGAAAGGCTGCCCCAGTGGTGGGCCCGGGGGTCTCATGCCTGTGTGCTGGGGAAGGTTGGGGTGGGAGATCTGTGGGGTTCTTTGGGCACCTGGGCAAGGCTCTGCCGCTCCGAGGCCTCCAGGAGATGCAGCAGGCAGCTGAGATCCGGGGCATCCACCTCGGCCAGGCTCTGCAGGTCCCTTGCAGCCCCTGGCACGTCTCCCTTCTTGAGCTGGAGCAGGCCCAGCCGGGCCCGGGCTGCCTCTGACGTTGGGGCACGGTGCAGGGCTTTTTCCAGGTGGGTGCCAGCTTCCTCGTAGCTGCCTGTCAGGGATTCAGGAGGGACAGTCAGTGTGTGGGGTTGGGCAGAGGTGCGAGAGAGCTGAGACTCGCTGGCCGCTCCTTCCCTGCCCTGTGCTGGCTTGCGGGGAGCTGATGATGGCTCAGCCCAGGAAGAAGGAGCTGGGAGCAGAGGTGCACCGTGATTCCAGGCAGGTCACAGGGACTCACCTCTGACCCCACTCCATGATGCTGAGCTACCACACCGTGGGCACTACAAGGGGCTGCTTTCTCTCCCGGGCAACTAGAGGCAAACTCTGGGCCTGCTGGCGCAGAGTGGCATGTGGGGAGCAGCCCTGGGGCCCCTGAAGCCCTTGGTGGGCAAATGCAGACTGCAGAGAGAGCTCCCCTTTGGAATTAGTGGTGAAGTGGTTTCCACATCACCAGGGGGATGTGGAAATCCGCGGGAAGGGCCTGCATGTCGGCCCATGGGGCTTCTGACAGTTCCTCCTGGAACAGGGCCTGCCATCCCGTGGGTGCCCGAGAAACAACGACTGGAGGTGCATGGATGAATGAGGGGGCCGAGGGTCCAAGACCTTTCAAAGACCAAGATCACCCCTCGGTTTCTCCTCCATTGCAAGCAAAGAGCCACCCGGGTAAAGCAGAGGAGAGCCTTTTGAACGCCAGGCCTCACACAGGGAGCAGGGCCAGAGGTCATGGGATTTGGGGTGGAAGGGACCTTGGAAGCTGTTGTGGTCCGGGTCTCTTTCTTCCATTTTTACAGAACAGGATACAGAGGTCAGAGGAGCGGGGACAGAAGCCCAGACCCCGTGTTTCCCACCTTGGGGCCGCCGCATACCCTGTGCCATGAGAATGTCTGCCAGGAGGAGGTGCCAGTGCGGTTGCCCTGAGTCGATTTTGATCAGCGCCTCCCCCACAGCAAGGAGGCCCTGGGTGTCCTTGTCCTCGAGAGGGGCCCCAGTGTCTGGCAGCTGGCTCAGAAGGGCCCGGCAGTGGGAGTAGAGGCCCTGTGTGATGAGGGCCTGGGCTTCCGGCTTCAGAGAGCGGAGCTCAGGGACCACAGTCCCGGGGCCGAGCTTCAGAGCAGAGACGATGTCGTCCACGGCTTCCTGCAAGGAGGGAGGGCGGGCGGGTGCAGAGTTGTCCTAAGTAGAGAAACTGGGCAGAGGGTCAGAGTAGGAGGACTGGCTCTGTCTTTCTCATTCCCTGATCTTCTCCCTGGGGTCCTAGAGGGTCTGAACACCCAGCTTCCTGCCCCTTCCTGCTTCTCTGTGGCTGCAGCCTCCTACCATCCCTCCTGATTCTGGTTAGCATTTGAGGGGACTCAGCTCACTGACCTTGACTCTGAAAGTTGTCAGGCTCAGAACCCCTTTTCTGAGGCCAAACGCTGCTAATTTCCATCTCCTGAGGCTGCCTGCGGTCTGTGAGCCCTCCCTGGGTCCCTCGCTCTCCCAGCTTGTAGCTGGCTCCCTCCACGCCTGTCCCTCCCCACAGGGGCATCTGTCACCTCACAGTGGGGGACGCTGGAGCTCCTTGGGTATCCGGGTGCTGCTCCCAGTGCCTGTGGTCTTGGGGACGCCGGAAGGGTAGAAAGCCCAGTTACTGCTCTCCCGTAACTCCCAGAAGCAGTGGAAGGAGGGTGCCCAGCCCATCTGGTGCACAATACCGCGCCTGGCCCTAACTATGCCTCTTTATATTATCTTTCTAGCAATTGCCTTGTGGATTACAATACGTAGCCTTACAGCTATGAACAAGCCCCCAGCTCCCAGGTGAGCACCCTACCACAGTCTATGTACAGTTAATATGGGGCCACTTTACCTAATATGTGAGATCCCCACAGCAGTAAATTCCATTATTCCCATACTTTGTGTTATCGTTGTCCTACACTGAGCGATGCATTTCCTCACATAGTGCATTATTTCAAGTGAATTAATTATATATATATTTTGAGACAGGGTCTCTGTCTGTTGCCCAGGCTGGAGTGCAGTGGCATGATCTTGGTTCACTGCAACCTTGAGCTCCTGGGCTTAAGTGATCCTCCCACTTCTGCCTCCGGAGTAGCTGGGACCACAGGCACATGCCACCACACCCAGCTCATTTTAAAATCTTTTTGTACAAATGGGGTCTTGATATATTGCCCAGGCTGGTATGGAACTTCTGGTCTCAAGCCATCCTCCCACCTTGGCCTCCCAAAGTACTGGCATTACAGGTGTGAGCTACCACACCTGGCCTGTTTTTAATTTAGATAGCTTTGTTCAAAGAAATTAAAAGAAGAAATAAATACATCATTTTGTATTTGCAGATGCTTTTCATTTCTTCCAGCAGAGAATTTCTATCAGGCATCAGTTCTCTTCAATTTCACCACCTTCCCTCAGGATCTGCTGTGGTGTCATTCACTGATGACGAATCTCTCAGCTTCCATTTGTCTAACGGGTCTTTAATGTCACCCTCGTTTCTGAAGGACATTTTAACAAGATGGATAATTCTGGCTTGGTACTTTTTTCTTTTAGTGCCTTAAAGGTGCTGTCCCATTGTCTTCTGGGTTCCATTGTTTCTGGGACAAATCTGCTGTCATTCGTGTTGTTGTATGTCATTTGTTCACCCCTCTGGTTGCTTTTAAGATGTTCTCTTTATCTTTTTTTTTCAGGAACTTGACCAAGATGTGCCTTCTTAGGGGTGGTTCTCTTTCTATTTTTCCTCTTGGGATTTGTTGAGCTTCTTGGGAATTTTTCTGCTGTTATTTCTTCAAATACCTGTGTATATTTGTCCCATTCATTCTCCGTATTCTCTGGGAGTCCAATCACATGTATGCTAGATGGCCTGAAATTGTCCCACCGGTCACTGAAGGTTTCTTCATTTATTTTTTTAATTTTTAAAAGTTTTTTAGAGGCCAGGTGCAGTGGCTCACGCCTGTAATCCCAGCATGTTGGGAGGCTGAGGTGGGCAGATCCAGAGGTCAGGAGATCGAGACCATCCTGGCCAACATGGTGAAACCCCGTCTCTACTAAAAATACAATAAAAATACAAAACTTAGCCAGGCATAGTGGTGGGTGCCTGTAGTCCCAGCTACTCAGGAGGCTAAGGCAGGAGAATTGGTTGATCCCAGGAGGTGGAGGTTGCGGTGAGCTGAGATTGTGGCACTGCACTCCAGCCTAGGTGACAGAGTGAGACTCCATCTCTTCTAGAAAATTTTTTTTTCTTTCTTTTATTTTGAGAGGGAGTCTCACTCTGTCGCCCAGGCTGGTCTCAAACTCCTGGGCTCAAGTGATGCTGCCACTTCGCCCTCCCAAAGTACTGGAATTACAGGTGTGAGCCATGATGCTCAGCTCAGCTCTCATCGTTTGAAACAGAGTTTTGTTTTTTGTTTTTTGTTTTCCCTGCTTTTCCTTAGATTGGATAATTTCCTTAGATTGGATAATTTTCTTTGGTCTATACTTGAGTTCACTAATCCTGCTTTGGCAGTTTCCAATCTGCTGTTGTGCCTGCCTAGTAAGTTTTTAATTCCAGATATGCTGCGTTTCAGATCTAGGATCTCCACTTGATTATTACTGTTTTTTTTTTTCATATTCCTCTGCTAGGATTCTCCATCAAGCTCACTCATTCTAGCAAACATTTCTTTTACATGTTTATGTCACTGCTTTTAAAAGCCCCTGTGTGTAAATTCCAAACCTCTAAGCCATCTCAGGGTCTGTTTCTATGAAGTACTTCTTCTCTTATTACGGGTCCCATTTCCCTGGTTCTCTGTGTGCCTAGCAGTTCTTGGTTTTGCGCTGGGCTCTGTGTCTGGCATGTGGTAGACAGGGCTGTGGTGCTGTCCTGCAAGGGGGCTGATTTCACTCTGGGGGGCAGGTAGATTACTGGTGGATCATTTTGGCCCTGCCAGGCTTTATCTTGTACTTTGCTAGGGGAGGATTCGTTTTTGAACTTAGTCCTAAAGTACAATCTTAATTTTAGGGTGTGGCCTTTCTGGGGTCTCAACTGAATGCCCAAGATGTTCAGAAAAGCCTCTCTGCGGCCTCCTGTCTCTCAGGTCACAGCTCTTTGCTGCCTGTTGTTTGGTGCCTGGAAACATTTGCTCATGCATTATATCCAGTTTATACAGCTGTCAGGAGCCTGGAATGGCACCCACATCCCCAGGTGAGCATCTGACAGCCTGGAACAGCACCCCACACCCCAGGGGAGCATCTTACAGCCTGGAACAGCACCCCACACCCCAGGGGAGCATCTTACAGCCTGGAATAGAACCCCACACCCACAGGTGAGCATCTGACAGCCTGGAACAGCACCGCACACTCCCAGGTGAGCACAGGTGAACATCTGACAGCCTGGAATGGCACCCACACTCACAGGTGAGTGTGGGACAGACTGGAGCAGCATTCTCCAGCCCCAGGTGAACTTGCGACAATCCAAAACAGAACCCTACACACCCAGCTGAGCATCTGACAGCCAAGGATGGCACCCCACACACCTAGGGGAGCATCTTACAGCCTGGAACAGCACCCCACACCCCCAGGTGAGTATCTGACAGCCTGGGAATGCACCCCCACACCCAGTTGAGCATCTGAAACCCTATAGCACCACCCCCAACCAACAGGTGAAAATCTTACAGCCTGGAACGGCACCTTCCACCCCCAGGTGAGCATCTTCCAGCCTGAAACAGCACCCCACACCCCCAGGTGAGTGTCTTACAGCCTGGAACGGTATCCACACCCACAGATGAGTGTGTGACAGCCTAGAACAGCATTCTCCAACCCCAGGTGAGCTTGTGACAATCTGGAACAGGACCCCACAACCCCAGGTGAGCATCTGACAGCCTAAAACAGCACCCTCCACCCTTAGGTGATCATTTGACAGCCAGGAATGACAACCCACATAAGCATCTGACAGCCTAGAACGGCACCCCCCAGTTAGGTGAGAATCTGAATGCCTGGATCAACGCTCAAACCTTCAGGTGAGCACCTGACAGCCTGGAACAGCAGTGCCCATACCCAGGTGAGCATCTGAAACCCTCCAGCAGCACTCACCACCCCAAGGTGAGCATTTGACAGCCTGGAACAGCACCCTTCATGTTCAGGTGAGCATCTGATGGTTTTGTTTTATTTTGAGATGGAGTCTCTCTCTGTCGCCCAGGCTACAGGCCAGTGGTGCGATCTTGGCTCACTGCAACCACCGCCCCCAGGTTTAATCGATTCTCCTGCCTCAGCCTCCTGAGTAGCTGCGACTACAGGCTGATTTTTGTATTTTTAGTAGAGACGGGGTTTCACCATGTTGACCAGGCTGGTCTTGAACTCCTGGTGATCCACCCACCTCGGCCTCCCAAAGTGCTGGGATTACAAGCACGAGTCATCGCACCTGGCTGATCATCTGACAGTTTTAAATGGCACCTCACACCCTCAGGTGAGCATCTGACAGCCTGGAATGGCACTCTGCATCCCCAAGTGAGCTTCTGACAGCCTGGAATGGCACTCTGCATCCCCAGGTGAGCATCTGACAGCCTGGAATGGCACTCTGCATCCCCAAGTGAGCTTCTGACAGCCTGGAATGGCACTCTGCATCCCCAGGTGAGCATCTGACAGCCTGGAATGGCACTCTGCATCCCCAGGTGAGCCTCTGACAGCCTGGAATGGCACTCTGCATCCCCAGGTGAGCATCTGACAGCCTGGAATGGTACTCTACACCCTCAGGTGAGCTTCTGACAGCCTGGAATGGCACTCTACATCCCCAGGTGAGCTTCTGACAGCCTGGAATGGCACCCCACACCCTCAGGTGAGCATCTGACAGCCTGGAATGGCACTCTACACCCTCAGGTGAGCATCTGACAGCCTGGAATGGCACTCTACATCCCCAGGTGAGCATCTGACAGCCTGGAACAGCACCTCACACCCACAGGTGAGTGTGTGACAGCCTGGAACAGCATTCTCCAACCCCAGGTGAGCTTGTGACAATCTGGAACAGGACCCCACTACCCCAGGTGAGCATGTGATAGCCGAAAACAGCACCCTCCACCCCCAGGGGATCATCTGATAGCCAAGAATGGCACTACTACCCTGAGGTGAGAATCTGACAGCCTGGATCAGCACTTCGACCTTCAGGTGAGTGTCTGAGAGCCTGCAACAGCACCCCACACCCCCAGGTGAGCATCTGACAGTCGGGAACAGCACCTCACACCCACAGATGAGACTCTGACAACGTAGAATGTCACCCTGACCCCCAGGTGAGCATCTGAAACCCTGGATCAGCTCTCCCCCATGCAAGGTGAGCATCTGACAGCAGGAAACAGCACTTGACACCCCCAGGTGAGCCTCTGACAGCCTGAAACCAGACCCACACCACAGGTGAGCAGCTGACAGGCTGCAACAGCACCCACACCCCCAGGTGAGCATCTGACAGCCCTAAATGACACCCCAACCCCCCAGGTGAGCATCACACCATCCAAATGGCACCCCAAACCCCCAATAAGCATCTGATAGCCTGAAACAGCACTCCACGCCTTCGGGGGGGCATCTGACAGCCTAGAACGGTATGTCACACCCCCAGGTAAGCATCAGAAAGCCTGGAACGGCACCCCAAACCCCCAGGTGAGCAACTTTGCAGCCTGGGACAGTACCCTCCAGCACCAGGTGAGCACTTCACAGCCTAAAACTGCACCTCACAGGCCAAGGTGAGCATCTGACTGCCTGGAACGGCACTCACACCCCGAGGTGAATGTGTGACAGCCTGAAACAGCATTCTCCAATCCCAGGTGAGGATCTGACAACCTGGAATAGAACTCCACACCGGCAGGTGAGCATCTGACAGCATTGAATGGCACCCAAACCCATAGATGAGTATGGGACAGACTGGAGCAGCATTCTCCAGCCCCAGGTGAACTTGTGACAATCCGAAACACAACCCCACACACGCAGGTAAGCATCTGACAGCCAAGGACGCCACCCCACACACCCAGGTGAGCATCTGACAGCCTAGAATGGCACCACCACACTTAGGTGAGAATCTGACAGCCTGGATCAGCACTTCAATCTTCAGCTGAGTGTCTGAGAGCCTGGAACAGCACCCCACACCCCCTGGTGAGTATCTGACAGCTTGGAACATCACCCTGCATACCAGGAGGGCATCTGACAGCCTGGGAAGTCACCCCCACACCCAGGTGAGCATCTGAAACCCTACAGCACCACCCCTCTCCAACCTTCAGGTGATTATCTGACAACCTAGAACAGCACCCTCCACCCTCAGATGAGCATCTGACAGCCGGAAAAACACCCTCCACCACCAGGTGATCATCGGACAGCCTGGAACGGTACCACCAATTAGGTGAGCCTCTGATGGACTCAAACAACAACTCACGATTTTGGGTGAGCAGCTGAGAAACTAAGTTGGCACCCTGCACTCAGGGGAGCATCTGACAGCCTGAAGCAGCACCTTCCACCTCTAAGTGAGCATCTGATGGTCTGGAGCAGCATCCATACCCCAGGTGAGCATCTGACAGGCTGGAACAGCACCCACACCCACAGGTGAGCATCTGACAGGCTGGAACAGCACCCACACCCCCAGGTGAGCATCCGACAGCCTGGAGCAGCACCCACACGCCCAGGTGAGCAACTGACAGCCTGGAACAGCACCCACACCCCCAGGAGAGCATCTGACAGCCTGGAGCAGAACCCACACCCACAGGCGAGCATCTGACAGCCTGGGTCGGCACCCACACCCCCAGGTGAGCATCTGATGGTCTGGAGCAGCACCCACACCCACAGGTGAGCATCTGACAGCCTGGAACACAACCCACACCCCCAGGTGAGCATCTGACAGACTGGAACAGCACCCTGCACCCCCAAGTGAGCATCTGACGGCCTGGAATAGCACCCACACCCCCAGGTGAGCATCCGACAGCCTGGAACAGCACCCACACCCCCAGGTGAGCATCCGACAGCCTGGAGCAGCACCCACACCCCCAGGTGAGCATCTGATATCCTGGAACAGCACGCACACCCCCAGGTGAGCATCTGACAGCCTGGAGCAGCACGCACACCCCCAGTGAGCATCTGACAGCCTGGAACAGCACCCACACCCCCAGGTGAGCATCCGACAGCCTGGAGCAGAACCCACACCCCCAGGCGAGCATCTGACGGCCTGCAACAGCACCCACACCTCCAGGCGAGCATTGGAAAGCCTGGAGCAGCACCCACACCCCCAGGTGAGCATTGGACAGCCTGGAGCAGCACCCAGAAGCCCAGGCGAGCATCCGACAGCCTGGAGCAGCATCCACACCCCCAGGTGAGAACCTGACATCGTGGAGCAGCAGCCCACACCCACAGGTGAGCATCTGACAGCCTGGAGGAGCACCCACACCCCCAGGTGAGCATCTGACAGACTGGAACAGCACCCTGCACCCCCAGGTGAGCATCCGACAGCCTGGAGCAGCAACCACACCCCCAGGCGAGCATCTGACAGCCTGGAATGGCACCCACACCCCCAGGTGAGCATCTGATGGTCTGGAGCAGCACCCACAACCAAAGGTGAGCATCGGAGAGTCTGGAGCAGCGCCCACACCCCCAGGCGAGCATCTGACAGCCTGGAGCAGTGCCCACACCCCCAGGTGAGCATGTGACAGCGTGGAGCAGCACCCACAGCCCAAGGTGAGCATCTGACAACCTGGAGCAGCAACCACACCCCCAGGCGAGTATCTGAACGCACAGAGCAGCACCAAAACCCCTAGGGGAGCATCCGACAGCCTGGAGCAGCACCCACACCCCCAGGTGCGCATCTGATGGTCTGGAGCAGCACCCACACCCACAGGTGAGCATCTGACAGCCTGGAACAGAACCCACACCCCCAGGTGAACATCTGACAGACTGGAACAGCACCCACATGCCCAGGTGAGCCTCTGACAACCTGGAACAGCACCCTGCACCCCCAGGTGAGCATCTGACAGCCTGGAACAGCACACACACCCCCAGGTGAGCATCTGACAACCTGGAACAGCACCCACACCCCCAGGCGAGCATCTGACAGCATGTAACAGCACCCACACCCCCAGGTGAGCATCTGACAGCCTGGAACACCAGCCTGCACCCCCAGGTGTGCACGTGACAGCCTGGAACAGCACCCACACCCCCAGGCGAGCATCTGATGGCCTGGAACAGCACCCACACCCCCAGGTGAGTATCTGACGGCCAGGAATAGCACCCACACCCGCAGGTGAGCATCTGACATCGTGGAGCAGCACCCCACACCCACAAGTGAGCATCTGACAGCCTGGAGCAGCATCCACACCCCCAGGCGAGCATCTGACAGCCTGGAACAGCACCCACACCCCCAGGTGAGCATCTGATGGTCTGGAGCAGCACCCACAACCACAAGTGAGCATCGGAGAGTCTGGAGCAGCGCCCACACCCCCAGGCGAGCATCTGACAGCCTGGAGCAGTGCCCACACCCCCAGGTGAGCATCTGACAGCATGGAGCAGCACCCACAGCCCAAGGTGAGCATCTGATGGTCTGGAGCAGCACCCACACCCACAGGTGAGCATCCGACAGCCTGGAGCAGCACCCACACCCCCAGGTGAGCATCTGATGGTCTGGAGCAGCACCCACAACCACAGGTGAGCATCGGAGAGTCTGGAGCAGTGCCCACACCCCCAGGCGAGCATCTGACAGCCTGGAGCAGTGCCCACACCACCAGGTGAGCATCTGACAGCGTGGAGCAGCACCCACAGCCCAAGGTGAGCATCTGACAATCTGGAGCAGCACCCACACCCCCAGGCGAGCATCTGAACGCACGGAGCAGCACCCACACCCCCAGGCGAGCATCCGACAGCCTGGAGCAGCACCCACACACCCAGGTGAGCATCTGACAGCCTGGAGCAGCACCCACACCACCAGGTGAGCATCTGACAGCCTGGAAAAGCACCCTGCACCCCCAGGTGAGCATCTGACAGTCTGGAACAGCACCCATACGCTCAGATGAGCATCTGACAGCCTGGAACAGGACCCTGCACCCCCAGGTGAGCATCTGACAGTCTGGAACAGCACCCACACACCCAGGCGAGCATCTGACAGCCTGGAACAGCACCCATACGCCCAGATGAGAATCAGACGGCCTGGAAAAGCAGCCTGCACCCCCAGGTGCGCACCTGACAGCCTGGAACAGCACCCACACCCCCAGGCGAGCATCTGACGGCCTGGAACGGCACCCACACCCCCAGGTGAGCATCCGACATCCTGAAACAGCTCCCACACCCCCAGGTGAGCATCCGACAGCCTGGAGCAGCACCCACACCCCCAGGTGAGTATCTGACCGCAAGGAATGGCATCCTCACCTCCAGGTGAGCATCGGACAGCCTGGAGCAGCACCCACACCCCTAGGTGAGCATCTGACAGCCTGGAACAGCAACCACACCCCGGGGCGAGCATCTGACAGCCTGGAACAGCAACCACACCCCGGGGCGAGCATCTGACAGCCTGGAACAGCAACCACACCCCCAGGCAAGCATCTGACAGCCTGGAACAGAACCCTGCACCCGCGAGTGAGGATCAGACAGCCTGGAGCAGCACCCACACTCCAGGTGAGCATCTGACAGCCTGAAGCAGCACCCACACCAACAGGTGAGCATCTGACAGCCTGGAACAGCACCCACACCCCCAGGTGAGCATCTGACAGCCTGGAACAGCTCTCACAACCCCAGGTGAGCATCTGACAGCCCAGAACAGCACGCTGCACCCCCAAGTGAGCACCTGACAGCCTGGAGCAGCAACCACACCCCCAGGTGAGCATCCAACAGCCTGGAACAGCACCGACACCCCCAGGTGAGCATCCGACAGCCTGGAGCAGCACCCACACCCCCAGGTGAGCATCTGATATCCTGGAACAGCACCCACACCCCCAGGTGAGCATCTGACAGGCTGGAGCAGCACGCACACCCCCAGTGAGCATCTGACAGCCTGCAACAGCTCTCACAACCCCAGGTTAGCATCTGACAGCCTGGAACAGCACGCTGCACCCCCAAGTGAGCATCTGACAGCCTGGAGCAGCAACCACACCCCCAGGTGAGCATCTGACAGCCTGGAACAGCACCCTGCACCCCCAGGTGAGCATCCGAAAGCCTGGAGCAGCACCCACACCCCCACGCGAGCATCTGACAGCCTGGAACGGCACCCACACACCCAGGTGAGCATCTGATGGTCTGGAGCAGCACCCACAACCACAGGTGAACATCGGAGAGTCTGGAGCAGCGCCCACACCCCCAGGCGAGCATCTGACAGCCTGGAGCAGTGCCCAAACCCCCAGGTGAGCATCTGACAGCGTGGAGCAGCACCCACAGCCCAAGGTGAGCATCTGACAACCAGGAGCAGCACCCACACCCCCAGGCGAGCATCTGAACGCACGGAGCAGCACCCACACCTCCCGGCGAGCATCCGACAGCCTGGAGCAGCACCCACACCCCCAGGTGCGCATCTGATGGTCTGGAGCAGCACCCACACACACAGGTGAGCATCTGAGAGCCTGGAACAGAACCCACACCCCCAGGTGAGCATCTGACAGACTGGAACAGCACCCACATGCCCAGGTGAGCCTCTGACAGCCTGGAACAGCACCCTGCACACCCAGGTGAGCATCTGACAGCCTGGAACAGCACGCACACACCCAGGTGAGCATCTGAAAGCCTGGAAGAGCACCCACACCCCCAGGCGAGCATCTGACAGCATGCAACAGCACTCACACCCCCAGGTGAGCATCTGACAGCCTGGAACAGCACCCTGCACCCCCAGGTGCGCACGTGACAGCCTGGAACAGCACCCACACACCCAGGTGAGCATCTGACAGCCTGGAGCAGCACCCTGCATCCCCAGGTGAGCATCTGACAGCCTGGAACAGCACCCTGCACCCCCAGGTGAGCATCTGACACCCTGGAACACCACACACACCCCCAGGCGAGCATCTGACAACCTGCAACAGCACCCATACGCCCAGATGAGCATCTGACAGCCTGGAACAGCACCCTGCACCCCCAGGCGAGCATCTGACAGCCTGGAACAGCACCCATACGCCCAGATGAGCATCTGACAGCCTGGAACAGCACCCTACATCCCCAGGTGTGCACCTGACAGCCTGGAACAGCACCCACTCACCCAGGGGAGCATCTGATGGCCTGGAATGGCACCCACACCCCCAGGTGAGCATCCGACATCCTGAAACAGCTCCCACAACCCCAGGTGAGCATCCGACAGCCTGGAGCAGCACCCATACCCCCAGGTGAGCATCTGACCGCATGGAATGGCATCCTCACCTCCAGGTGAGCATCCGACAGCCTGGAGCAGCACCCACACCCCCAGGTGAGCATCTGACAGCCTGGAATAGCAACCACACCCCCAGGCGAGCATCTGACAGCCGGGAACAGCACCCTGCACCCCCGGGTGAGGATCAGACAGCCTGGAGCAGCACCCACACTCCAGGTGAGCATCTGACAGCCTGAAGCAGCACCCACACCCCCAGGTGAGCATCTGACAGCCTGGAACAGCACCCTGCACCCCCAAGTGAGCATCTGACCACCTGGAGCAGCAACCACACCCCCAGGTGAGCATCCGACAGCCTGGAACTGCACCCACACCCCCAGGTGTGCATCCGACAGCCTGGAGCAGCACCCACACCCCCAGGTGAGCATCTGACAGCCTGGAACAGCACCCACACCCCCAGGTGAGCATCCGACAGCCTGGAGCAGCACCCACACCCCCAGGTGAGCATCTGACAGCCTGGAACAGCACCCACACCCCCAGGTGAGCATCCGACAGCCTGGAGCAGCACTCACACACCCAGGCGAGCATCTGACAGCCTGGAACAGCACCCACCCCCCCCAGGTGAGCATCTGATATCCTGGAACAGCACCCACACCCCCAGGTGAGTATCTGACAGGCTGGAGCAGCACGCACACCCCCAGGTGAGCATCTGACAGCCTGGAACAGCACCCACACCCCCAGATGAACATCCGACAGTCTGGAGCAGAACCCACACCACCAGGCGAGCATCTGACAGCCTGGGTGGGCACCCACACCCCCAGGTGAGCATCTGATGGTCTGGAGCAGCACCCACAACCAAAGGTGAGCATCGGAGAGTCTGGAGCAGCGCCCACACCCCCAGGTGAGCATCTGACAGCCTGGAGCAGTGCCCACACCCCCAGGTGAGCATGTGACAGCGTGGAGCAGCACCCACAGCCCAAGGTGAGCATCTGACAACCTGGAGCAGCAACCACACCCCCAGGCGAGTATCTGAACGCACGGAGCAGCACCAACACCCCTAGGGGAGCATCCGACAGCCTGGAGCAGCACCCACACCCCCAGGTGCGCATCTGATGGTCTGGAGCAGCACCCACACCCACAGGTGAGCATCTGACAGCCTGGAACAGAACCCACACCCCCAGGTGAACATCTGACAGACTGGAACAGCACCCACATGCCCAGGTGAGCCTCTGACAGCCTGGAACAGCACCCTGCACCCCCAGGTGAGCATCTGACAGCCTGGAACAGCACACACACCCCCAGGTGAGCATCTGACAGCCTGGAACAGCACCCACACCCCCAGGCGAGCATCTGACAGCATGTAACAGCACCCACACCCCCAGGTGAGCATCTGACAGCCTGGAACACCAGCCTGCACCCCCAGGTGTGCACGTGACAGCCTGGAACAGCACCCACACCCCCAGGCGAGCATCTGATGGCCTGGAACAGCACCCACACCCCCAGGTGAGTATCTGACGGCCTGGAATAGCACCCACACCCGCAGGTGAGCATCTGACATCGTGGAGCAGCACCCCACACCCACAAGTGAGCATCTGACAGCCTGGAGCAGCACCCACACTCCAGGTGAGCATCTGACAGCCTGGAACAGCACCCTGCACCCCCAGGTGAGCATCCGACAGCCTGGAGCAGCATCCACACCCCCAGGCGAGCATCTGACAGCCTGGAACAGCACCCACACCCCCAGGTGAGCATCTGATGGTCTGGAGCAGCACCCACAACCACAAGTGAGCATCGGAGAGTCTGGAGCAGCGCCCACACCCCCAGGCGAGCATCTGACAGCCTGGAGCAGTGCCCACACCCCCAGGTGAGCATCTGACAGCATGGAGCAGCACCCACAGCCCAAGGTGAGCATCTGATGGTCTGGAGCAGCACCCACACCCACAGGTGAGCATCCGACAGCCTGGAGCAGCACCCACACCCCCAGGTGAGCATCTGATGGTCTGGAGCAGCCCCCACAACCACAGGTGAGCATCGGAGAGTCTGGAGCAGTGCCCACACCCCCAGGCGAGCATCTGACAGCCTGGAGCAGTGCCCACACCACCAGGTGAGCATCTGACAGCGTGGAGCAGCACCCACAGCCCAAGGTGAGCATCTGACAACCTGGAGCAGCACCCACACCCCCAGGCGAGCATCTGAACGCACGGAGCAGCACCCACACCCCCAGGCGAGCATCCGACAGCCTGGAGCAGCACCCACACACCCAGGTGAGCATCTGACAGCCTGGAGCAGCACCCACACCACCAGGTGAGCATCTGACAGCCTGGAAAAGCACCCTGCACCCCCAGGTGAGCATCTGACAGTCTGGAACAGCACCCATACGCCCAGATGAGCATCTGACAGCCTGGAACAGCACCCTGCACCCCCAGGTGAGCATCTGACAGTCTGGAACAGCACCCACACACCCAGGCGAGCATCTGACAGCCTGGAACAGCACCCATACGCCCAGATGAGAATCTGACGGCCTGGAAAAGCACCCTGCACCCCCAGGTGCGCACCTGACAGCCTGGAACAGCACCCACACCCCCAGGCGAGCATCTGACGGCCTGGAACGGCACCCACACCCCCAGGTGAGCATCCGACATCCTGAAACAGCTCCCACACCCCCAGGTGAGCATCCGACAGCCTGGAGCAGCACCCACACCCCCAGGTGAGTATCTGACCGCAAGGAATGGCATCCTCACCTCCAGGTGAGCATCGGACAGCCTGGAGCAGCACCCACACCCCTAGGTGAGCATCTGACAGCCTGGAACAGCAACCACAACCCCAGGCAAGCATCTGACAGCCTGGAACAGAACCCTGCACCCGCGAGTGAGGATCAGACAGCCTGGAGCAGCACCCACACTCCAGGTGAGCATCTGACAGCCTGAAGCAGCACCCACACCAACAGGTGAGCATCTGACAGCCTGGAACAGCACCCACACCCCCAGGTGAGCATCTGACAGCCTGGAACAGCTCTCACAACCCCAGGTGAGCATCTGACAGCCCAGAACAGCACGCTGCACCCCCAAGTGAGCACCTGACAGCCTGGAGCAGCAACCACACCCCCAGGTGAGCATCCAACAGCCTGGAACAGCACCGACACCCCCAGGTGAGCATCCGACAGCCTGGAGCAGCACCCACACCCCCAGGTGAGCATCTGATATCCTGGAACAGCACCCACACCCCCAGGTGAGCATCTGACAGGCTGGAGCAGCACGCACACCCCCAGTGAGCATCTGACAGCCTGCAACAGCTCTCACAACCCCAGGTTAGCATCTGACAGCCTGGAACAGCACGCTGCACCCCCAAGTGAGCATCTGACAGCCTGGAGCAGCAACCACACCCCCAGGTGAGCATCTGACAGCCTGGAACAGCACCCTGCACCCCCAGGTGAGCATCCGAAAGCCTGGAGCAGCACCCACACCCCCACGCGAGCATCTGACAGCCTGGAATGGCACCCACACACCCAGGTGAGCATCTGATGGTCTGGAGCAGCACCCACAACCACAGGTGAACATCGGAGAGTCTGGAGCAGCGCCCACACCCCCAGGCGAGCATCTGACAGCCTGGAGCAGTGCCCAAACCCCCAGGTGAGCATCTGACAGCGTGGAGCAGCACCCACAGCCCAAGGTGAGCATCTGACAACCAGGAGCAGCACCCACGCCCCCAGGCGAGCATCTGAACGCACGGAGCAGCACCCACACCTCCCGGCGAGCATCCGACAGCCTGGAGCAGCACCCACACCCCCAGGTGCGCATCTGATGGTCTGGAGCAGCACCCACACACACAGGTGAGCATCTGAGAGCCTGGAACAGAACCCACACCCCCAGGTGAGCATCTGACAGACTGGAACAGCACCCACATGCCCAGGTGAGCCTCTGACAGCCTGGAACAGCACCCTGCACACCCAGGTGAGCATCTGACAGCCTGGAACAGCACGCACACACCCAGGTGAGCATCTGAAAGCCTGGAAGAGCACCCACACCCCCAGGCGAGCATCTGACAGCATGCAACAGCACTCACACCCCCAGGTGAGCATCTGACAGCCTGGAACAGCACCCTGCACCCCCAGGTGCGCACGTGACAGCCTGGAACAGCACCCACACACCCAGGTGAGCATCTGACAGCCTGGAGCAGCACCCTGCATCCCCAGGTGAGCATCTGACAGCCTGGAACAGCACCCTGCACCCCCAGGTGAGCATCTGACACCCTGGAACACCACACACACCCCCAGGCGAGCATCTGACAACCTGCAATAGCACCCATACGCCCAGATGAGCATCTGACAGCCTGGAACAGCACCCTGCACCCCCAGGCGAGCATCTGACAGCCTGGAACAGCACCCATACGCCCAGATGAGCATCTGACAGCCTGGAACAGCACCCTACATCCCCAGGTGTGCACCTGACAGCCTGGAACAGCACCCACTCACCCAGGGGAGCATCTGATGGCCTGGAATGGCACCCACACCCCCAGGTGAGCATCCGACATCCTGAAACAGCTCCCACAATCCCAGGTGAGCATCCGACAGCCTGGAGCAGCACCCATACCCCCAGGTGAGCATCTGACCGCATGGAATGGCATCCTCACCTCCAGGTGAGCATCCGACAGCCTGGAGCAGCACCCACACCCCCAGGTGAGCATCTGACAGCCTGGAATAGCAACCACACCCCCAGGCGAGCATCTGACAGCCGGGAACAGCACCCTGCACCCCCGGGTGAGGATCAGACAGCCTGGAGCAGCACCCACACTCCAGGTGAGCATCTGACAGCCTGAAGCAGCACCCACACCCCCAGGTGAGCATCTGACAGCCTGGAACAGCACCCTGCACCCCCAAGTGAGCATCTGACCACCTGGAGCAGCAACCACACCCCCAGATGAGCATCCGACAGCGTGGAACTGCACCCACACCCCCAGGTGTGCATCCGACAGCCTGGAGCAGCACCCACACCCCCAGGTGAGCATCTGACAGCCTGGAACAGCACCCACACCCCCAGGTGAGCATCCGACAGCCTGGAGCAGCACCCACACCCCCAGGTGAGGATCTGACAGCCTGGAACAGCACCCACACCCCCAGGTGAGCATCCGACAGCCTGGAGCAGCACCCACACACCCAGGCGAGCATCTGACAGCCTGGAACAGCACCCACCCCCCCAGGTGAGCATCTGATATCCTGGAACAGCACCCACACCCCCAGGTGAGTATCTGACAGGCTGGAGCAGCACGCACACCCCCAGGTGAGCATCTGACAGCCTGGAACAGCACCCACACCCCCAGATGAACATCCGACAGTCTGGAGCAGAACCCACACCACCAGGCGAGCATCTGACAGCCTGGGTGGGCACCCACACCCCCAGGTGAGCATCTGATGGTCTGGAGCAGCACCCACACACACAGGTGAGCATCTGACAGCCTGGAACAGAACCCACACCCCCAGGTGAGCATCTGACAGACTGGAACAGCACCCACCCGCCCAGTTGAGCCTCTGACTGCCTGGAACAGCACGCGCACACCCAGGTGAGCATCTGACAGCGTGGAACAGCACCCACACCCCCAGGTGAGCATTGGACAGCCTGGAGCAGCACCCAGAAGCCCAGGCGAGCATCCGACAGCCTGGAGCAGCATCCACACCCCCAGGTGAGCACCTGACATCGTGGAGCAGCAGCCCACACCCACAGGTGAGCATCTGACAGCCTGGAGGAGCACCCACACCCCCAGGTGAGCATCTGACAGACTGGAACAGCACCCTGCACCCCCAGGTGAGCATCCGACAGCCTGGAGCAGCAACCACACCCCCAGGCGAGCATCTGACAGCCTGGAATGGCACCCACACCCCCAGGTGAGCATCTGATGGTCTGGAGCAGCACCCACAACCAAAGGTGAGCATCGGAGAGTCTGGAGCAGCGCCCACACCCCCAGGCGAGCATCTGACAGCCTGGAGCAGTGCCCACACCCCCAGGTGAGCATGTGACAGCGTGGAGCAGCACCCACAGCCCAAGGTGAGCATCTGACAACCTGGAGCAGCAACCACACCCCCAGGCGAGTATCTGAACGCACGGAGCAGCACCAACACCCCTAGGGGAGCATCCGACAGCCTGGAGCAGCACCCACACCCCCAGGTGCGCATCTGATGGTCTGGAGCAGCACCCACACCCACAGGTGAGCATCTGACAGCCTGGAACAGAACCCACACCCCCAGGTGAACATCTGACAGACTGGAACAGCACCCACATGCCCAGGTGAGCCTCTGACAGCCTGGAACAGCACCCTGCACCCCCAGGGGAGCATCTGACAGCCTGGAACAGCACACACACCCCCAGGTGAGCATCTGACAGCCTGGAACAGCACCCACACCCCCAGGCGAGCATCTGACAGCATGTAACAGCACCCACACCCCCAGGTGAGCATCTGACAGCCTGGAACACCAGCCTGCACCCCCAGGTGTGCACGTGACAGCCTGGAACAGCACCCACACCCCCAGGCGAGCATCTGATGGCCTGGAACAGCACCCACACCCCCAGGTGAGTATCTGACGGCCTGGAATAGCACCCACACCCGCAGGTGAGCATCTGACATCGTGGAGCAGCACCCCACACCCACAAGTGAGCATCTGACAGCCTGGAGCAGCACCCACACCCCAGGTGAGCATCTGACAGCCTGGAACAGCACCCTGCACCCCCAGGTGAGCATCCGACAGCCTGGAGCAGCATCCACACCCCCAGGCGAGCATCTGACAGCCTGGAACAGCACCCACACCCCCAGGTGAGCATCTGATGGTCTGGAGCAGCACCCACAACCACAAGTGAGCATCGGAGAGTCTGGAGCAGCGCCCACACACCCAGGCGAGCATCTGACAGCCTGGAGCAGTGCCCACACCCCCAGGTGAGCATCTGACAGCATGGAGCAGCACCCACAGCCCAAGGTGAGCATCTGATGGTCTGGAGCAGCACCCACACCCACAGGTGAGCATCCGACAGCCTGGAGCAGCACCCACACCCCCAGTTGAGCATCTGATGGTCTGGAGCAGCCCCCACAACCACAGGTGAGCATCGGAGAGTCTGGAGCAGTGCCCACACCCCCAGGCGAGCATCTGACAGCCTGGAGCAGTGCCCACACCACCAGGTGAGCATCTGACAGCGTGGAGCAGCACCCACAGCCCAAGGTGAGCATCTGACAACCTGGAGCAGCACCCACACCCCCAGGCGAGCATCTGAACGCACGGAGCAGCACCCACACCCCCAGGCGAGCATCCGACAGCCTGGAGCAGCACCCACACACCCAGGTGAGCATCTGACAGCCTGGAGCAGCACCCACACCCCCAGGTGAGCATCTGACAGCCTGGAAAAGCACCCTGCACCCCCAGGTGAGCATCTGACAGTCTGGAACAGCACCCATACGCCCAGATGAGCATCTGACAGCCTGGAACAGCACCCTGCACCCCCAGGTGAGCATCTGACAGTCTGGAACAGCACCCACACACCCAGGCGAGCATCTGACAGCCTGGAACAGCACCCATACGCCCAGATGAGAATCTGACGGCCTGGAAAAGCACCCTGCACCCCCAGGTGCGCACCTGACAGCCTGGAACAGCACCCACACCCCCAGGCGAGCATCTGACGGCCTGGAACGGCACCCACACCCCCAGGTGAGCATCCGACATCCTGAAACAGCTCCCACACCCCCAGGTGAGCATCCGACAGCCTGGAGCAGCACCCACACCCCCAGGTGAGTATCTGACCGCAAGGAATGGCATCCTCACCTCCAGGTGAGCATCGGACAGCCTGGAGCAGCACCCACACCCCTAGGTGAGCATCTGACAGCCTGGAACAGCAACCACACCCCGGGGCGAGCATCTGACAGCCTGGAACAGCAACCACAACCCCAGGCAAGCATCTGACAGCCTGGAACAGAACCCTGCACCCGCGAGTGAGGATCAGACAGCCTGGAGCAGCACCCACACTCCAGGTGAGCATCTGACAGCCTGAAGCAGCACCCACACCAACAGGTGAGCATCTGACAGCCTGGAACAGCACCCACACCCCCAGGTGAGCATCTGACAGCCTGGAACAGCTCTCACAACCCCAGGTGAGCATCTGACAGCCCAGAACAGCACGCTGCACCCCCAAGTGAGCACCTGACAGCCTGGAGCAGCAACCACACCCCCAGGTGAGCATCCAACAGCCTGGAACAGCACCGACACCCCCAGGTGAGCATCCGACAGCCTGGAGCAGCACCCACACCCCCAGGTGAGCATCTGATATCCTGGAACAGCACCCACACCCCCAGGTGAGCATCTGACAGGCTGGAGCAGCACGCACACCCCCAGTGAGCATCTTACAGCCTGCAACAGCTCTCACAACCCCAGGTTAGCATCTGACAGCCTGGAACAGCACGCTGCACCCCCAAGTGAGCATCTGACAGCCTGGAGCAGCAACCACACCCCCAGGTGAGCATCTGACAGCCTGGAACAGCACCCTGCACCCCCAGGTGAGCATCCGAAAGCCTGGAGCAGCACCCACACCCCCACGCGAGCATCTGACAGCCTGGAATGGCACCCACACACCCAGGTGAGCATCTGATGGTCTGGAGCAGCACCCACAACCACAGGTGAACATCGGAGAGTCTGGAGCAGCGCCCACACCCCCAGGCGAGCATCTGACAGCCTGGAGCAGTGCCCAAACCCCCAGGTGAGCATCTGACAGCGTGGAGCAGCACCCACAGCCCAAGGTGAGCATCTGACAACCAGGAGCAGCACCCACACCCCCAGGCGAGCATCTGAACGCACGGAGCAGCACCCACACCTCCCGGCGAGCATCCGACAGCCTGGAGCAGCACCCACACCCCCAGGTGCGCATCTGATGGTCTGGAGCAGCACCCACACACACAGGTGAGCATCTGAGAGCCTGGAACAGAACCCACACCCCCAGGTGAGCATCTGACAGACTGGAACAGCACCCACATGCCCAGGTGAGCCTCTGACAGCCTGGAACAGCACCCTGCACACCCAGGTGAGCATCTGACAGCCTGGAACAGCACGCACACACCCAGGTGAGCATCTGAAAGCCTGGAAGAGCACCCACACCCCCAGGCGAGCATCTGACAGCATGCAACAGCACTCACACCCCCAGGTGAGCATCTGACAGCCTGGAACAGCACCCTGCACCCCCAGGTGCGCACGTGACAGGCTGGAACAGCACCCACACACCCAGGTGAGCATCTGACAGCCTGGAGCAGCACCCTGCATCCCCAGGTGAGCATCTGACAGCCTGGAACAGCACCCTGCACCCCCAGGTGAGCATCTGACACCCTGGAACACCACACACACCCCCAGGCGAGCATCTGACAACCTGCAATAGCACCCATACGCCCAGATGAGCATCTGACAGCCTGGAACAGCACCCTGCACCCCCAGGCGAGCATCTGACAGCCTGGAACAGCACCCATACGCCCAGATGAGCATCTGACAGCCTGGAACAGCACCCTACATCCCCAGGTGTGCACCTGACAGCCTGGAACAGCACCCACTCACCCAGGGGAGCATCTGATGGCCTGGAATGGCACCCACACCCCCAGGTGAGCATCCGACATCCTGAAACAGCTCCCACAATCCCAGGTGAGCATCCGACAGCCTGGAGCAGCACCCATACCCCCAGGTGAGCATCTGACCGCATGGAATGGCATCCTCACCTCCAGGTGAGCATCCGACAGCCTGGAGCAGCACCCACACCCCCAGGTGAGCATCTGACAGCCTGGAATAGCAACCACACCCCCAGGCGAGCATCTGACAGCCGGGAACAGCACCCTGCACCCCCGGGTGAGGATCAGACAGCCTGGAGCAGCACCCACACTCCAGGTGAGCATCTGACAGCCTGAAGCAGCACCCACACCCCCAGGTGAGCATCTGACAGCCTGGAACAGCACCCTGCACCCCCAAGTGAGCATCTGACCACCTGGAGCAGCAACCACACCCCCAGATGAGCATCCGACAGCCTGGAACTGCACCCACACCCCCAGGTGTGCATCCGACAGCCTGGAGCAGCACCCACACCCCCAGGTGAGCATCTGACAGCCTGGAACAGCACCCACACCCCCAGGTGAGCATCCGACAGCCTGGAGCAGCACCCACACCCCCAGGTGAGGATCTGACAGCCTGGAACAGCACCCACACCCCCAGGTGAGCATCCGACAGCCTGGAGCAGCACCCACACACCCAGGCGAGCATCTGACAGCCTGGCACAGCACCCACCCCCCCAGGTGAGCATCTGATATCCTGGAACAGCACCCACACCCCCAGGTGAGTATCTGACAGGCTGGAGCAGCACGCACACCCCCAGGTGAGCATCTGACAGCCTGGAACAGCACCCACACCCCCAGATGAACATCCGAGAGTCTGGAGCAGAACCCACACCACCAGGCGAGCATCTGACAGCCTGGGTGGGCACCCACACCCCCAGGTGAGCATCTGATGGTCTGGAGCAGCACCCACACACACAGGTGAGCATCTGACAGCCTGGAACAGAACCCACACCCCCAGGTGAGCATCTGACAGACTGGAACAGCACCCACCCGCCCAGTTGAGCCTCTGACTGCCTGGAACAGCACGCGCACACCCAGGTGAGCATCTGACAGCGTGGAACAGCACCCACACCCCCAGGTGAGCATTGGACAGCCTGGAGCAGCACCCAGAAGCCCAGGCGAGCATCCGACAGCCTGGAGCAGCATCCACACCCCCAGGTGAGCACCTGACATCGTGGAGCAGCAGCCCACACCCACAGGTGAGCATCTGACAGCCTGGAGGAGCACCCACACCCCCAGGTGAGCATCTGACAGACTGGAACAGCACCCTGCACCCCCAGGTGAGCATCCGACAGCCTGGAGCAGCAACCACACCCCCAGGCGAGCATCTGACAGCCTGGAATGGCACCCACACCCCCAGGTGAGCATCTGATGGTCTGGAGCAGCACCCACAACCAAAGGTGAGCATCGGAGAGTCTGGAGCAGCGCCCACACCCCCAGGCGAGCATCTGACAGCCTGGAGCAGTGCCCACACCCCCAGGTGAGCATGTGACAGCGTGGAGCATCACCCACAGCCCAAGGTGAGCATCTGACAACCTGGAGCAGCAACCACACCCCCAGGCGAGTATCTGAACGCACGGAGCAGCACCAACACCCCTAGGGGAGCATCCGACAGCCTGGAGCAGCACCCACACCCCCAGGTGCGCATCTGATGGTCTGGAGCAGCACCCACACCCACAGGTGAGCATCTGACAGCCTGGAACAGAACCCACACCCCCAGGTGAACATCTGACAGACTGGAACAGCACCCACATGCCCAGGTGAGCCTCTGACAGCCTGGAACAGCACCCTGCACCCCCAGGGGAGCATCTGACAGCCTGGAACAGCACACACACCCCCAGGTGAGCATCTGACAGCCTGGAACAGCACCCACACCCCCAGGCGAGCATCTGACAGCATGTAACAGCACCCACACCCCCAGGTGAGCATCCGACAGCCTGGAGCAGCACCCACACACCCAGGTGAGCAACTGACAGCCTGGAGCAGCACCCACACACCCAGGTGATCATCTGACAGCCTGGAACAGCACGCTGCCCCCCCAGGTGAGCATCTGACAGCCTGGAACAGCACACACACCCCCAGGCGAGCATCTGACAACCTGGAACAGCACCCATACGCCCAGATGAGCATCTGACAGCCTGGAACAGCACCCTGCACCCCCAGGTGAGCATCTGACAGCCTGGAACAGCACCCACACCCCCAGGTGAGCATCTGACCGCATCACATGGCATCCTCACCCCCAGTTGCGCATCTGATGGTCTGGAGCAGCACCCACACCCACAGGTGAGCATCAGACAGCCTGGAACCGCAGCCACACCCCCAGGCGAGCATCTGACAGCCTGGAGCAGCATCCACACCCCCAGGTGAGCATTTGACAGCCTGGAACAGCACTCACACCCCCAGGAGAGCATCCGGCAGCCTGGAGCGGAACCCACGGCCACAGGCGAGCATCTGAGAGCCTGGGTCGGCACCCACACCCCCAGGTGAGCATCTGATGGTTTGCGGCAACACCGACACCCACAGGTGAGCATCTGACAGCCTGGAACAGAACCCACACGCCCAGGTGAGCATCTGACAGCCTGGAACAACAGCCTGCACCACCAGGTGCGCATGTGACAGCCTGGAACAGCACCAACACCCCCAGGCGAGCATCTGACGGCCTGGAACAGCACCCACACCCCCAGGTGAGCATCAGACAGCCTGGAACAACACCCATACCCACAGGTGAGCATCTGACATCGTGGAGCAGCACCCCACACCCACAGGTGAGCATCTGACAGCCTGGAGCAGCACCCACACCCCCAGGTGAGCATCTGACAGCCTGGAACAGCACCCACACCCCCAGGTGAGAATCTGATTGTCTGGAGCATCACACACAACCACAGGTGAGCATCGGAGAGTCTGGAGCAGCACCAACATCCCAAGGTGAGCATCTGACAACCTGGAGCAGCACCCACACCTCGAGGTGAGCATCTGTCCTCCCGGAGCAGGACCCATACCTCCAGGCGAGCATCTGAACCCATGGAGCAGCACACACGCCCCCAGGCGAGCATCTGACCGAACGGAGCAGCACCCACAATCCCAGGCGAGCATCTGACAGCCTTTAACAGCACCCACAACCCCAGGTGAGCATCTGACAGCCCGCAGCAGCACCCACACGCACAGGTGAGAATCTGACAGCCCGGAGCAGCACCCACACCCCCAGGGGAGCATCTGACCGCATGGAGCAGCACCCACACCCCCAGGGGAGCATCTGAAATCCTGGAGCTGCACCGACAACAACAGGTGAGCATCTGAGAGCCTGGAACAGCTCCCGCACCCCCAGGTGAGAATCTGACAGCCTGGAAGAGCACCCCATATCCCCGGGTGAGCATCTGACAGCCTGGAACAGCACCCACTCCCCCAGGTGAGCACCTGACAGACTGGAACAGCACCCACAGGCCCAGGTGTGCCTCTGACAGCTTGGAACAGCACGCGCACCCCCAGGTGAGCATCTGACAGCCTGGAACAGCACCCACACCCCCAGGCGAGCATCTGATAGCCTGGAACAGCACCCACACCCCCAGGAGAGCATCCGGCAGCCTGCAGCAGAACCCACACCAACAGGCGAGCATCTGACAGCCTGGGTCGGCACCCACACCCCCAGGTGGGCATCTGATGGCCTGGAACAGCACCCACACCCCCAGGTGAGCATCTGACATCGTGGAGCAGCACCCCACACCCACAGGTGAGCATCTGACAGCCTGGAGCAGCACCCACACCCCCAGGTGAGCATCTGACAGCCTGGAACAGCACCCTGCACCCCCAGGTGAGCATCCGACAGCCTGGAGCAGCAACCACACTCCCAGGCGAGCATCCGATGACCTGGAGCAGCACCCACAACCCCAAGTGAGCATCTGATTGTCTGGAGCAGCACCCACAACCACAGGTGAGCATCGTAGAGTCTGGAGCAGCGCCCACAGCCACAGGCGAGCATCTGACAGCCCGGAGCAGTGCCCACACACCGAGGTGAGCATCTGACAACAGGGAGCAGCACCCATAGCCCATGGTGAGCACCTGACAACCTGGAGCAGCACCCACACACCCAGGTGAGCATCTGATGGTCTGGAGCAGCACCCACAACCAGAGGTGAGCATCGGAGAGTCAGGAGCAGTGCCCACACACCCAGGCGAGCATCTGACAGCCTGGAGCAGTGCCCACACCCCCAGGTGAGCATCTGACATCGTGGAGCAGCACCCCACACCCACAGGTGAGCATCTGACAGACTGGAGCAGCACCCACACCCCCAGGTGAGCATCTGACAGCCTGGAACAGCACCCACATCCCCAGGTGAGCCTCTGACATCGTCGAGCAGCACCCCACACCCACAGGTGAGCATCTGACAGCCTGGAACAGCACCCACACCCCCAGGTGAGAATCTGATGTTCTGGAGCATCACACACAACCACAGGTGAGCATCGGAGAGTCTGGAGCAGCACCCACAACCCAAGGTGAGCATCTGACAACCTGGAGCAGCACCCACACCCCGAGGTGAGCATCTGACCTCCCGGAGCAGGACCCATACCTCCAGGCGAGCATCTGAACCCATGGAGCAGCACCCACGCCCCCAGGCGAGCATCTGACCGAACAGAGCAGCACCCACAACCCCATGCGAGCATCTGACAGCCTGGAACAGCACCCACAACCCCAGGTGAGCATCTGACAGCCCGCAGCAGCAACCACACGCACAGGTGAGAATCTGACAGCCCGTAGCAGCACCCACACCCCCAGGGGAGCATCTGACATCCTGGAGCAGCACCGACAACCCCAGGTGAGCATCTGAGAGCCTGGAACAGCACCCACAACCCCAGGTGAGAATCTGACAGCCTGGAAGAGCACCCCACATCACCGGGTGAGCATCTGACAGCCTGGAACAGCAACCATACCCTCAGGTAAGCATCTGACAGACTGGAACAGCACCCACACGCCCAGGTGAGCCTCTGACAGCCTGGAACAGCACGCGCAACCCCAGGTGAGCATCTGACAGCCTGGAACAGCACCCACACCCACAGGTGAGCATCTGACAGCATGTAACAGCACCCACACCCCCAGGTGAGCATCTGACAGCCTGCAACAGCACCCTGCACCCCCAGGTGCGCACGTGACAGCCTGGAAGAGCACCCACACCCCAAGGCGAGCATCTGACGGCCTGGAACGGCACCCACACCCCCAGGCGAGCATCGGACAGCCTGGAGTAGCACCCCACACCCCCAGGTGAGCATCCGACAGCCTGGAGCAGCACCCACACCCCCAGGTGAGCATGTGACAGCCTGGAAGAGCACCCACACCCCCAGGCGAGCATCTGACAGCCTGGGTCGGCAACCACACACGCAGGTGCGCATCTGATGGTCTGGAGCAGCACCCACACCAACAGGTGAGCATCTGACAGCCTGGAACAGAACCCACACCCCCAGGTGAGCATGTGACAGACTGGAACAGCACCCACATGCCCAGGTGAGCCTCTGACAGCCTGTAACAGCAGCCTGCACCCCCAGGTGCGCCCGTGACAGCCTGGAACAGCACCGACACCCACAGGCGAGCATCTGACGGCCTGGAACAGCACCCACACCCCCAGGTGAGCATTGGACAGCCTGGAGCAGCACCCACAACCCCAGGCGGGCAACCGACAACCTGGAGCAGCACCCACACCCACAGTTGAGCATCTGACTTCGTGGAGCATAACCCCACACGCACAGGTGAGCATCTGACAGCCTGGAGCTGCACCCACACCCTCAGGTGAGTCTCTGACAGCCTGGAACAGCACCCTGCACACCCAGGTGAGCATCCGACAGCCTGGAGCAGCACCCACACCCCCAGTTGAGCAACTGATGGTCTGGAGCAGCACCCACAACCACAGGTGAACATCAGAGAGTCTGGAGCAGCGCCCACAACCCCAGGCGAGCATCTGACAGCCTGGAGCAGTGCCCAAACACCCAGGTGAGCATCTGACAGCATGGAGCAGCACCCATAGCCCAAGGTGAGCATCTGACAACCTGGAGCAGCACCCACACCCCGAGGTGAGCATCTGACCTCCCGGAGCAGGACCCATACCTCCAGGCGAGCATCTGAACCCATGGAGCAGCACCCACGCCCCCAGGCGAGCATCTGACCGAACAGAGCAGCACCCACAACCCCATGCGAGCATCTGTCAGCCTGGAACAGCACCCACAACCCCAGGTGAGCATCTGACAGCCCGCAGCAGCAACCACACGCACAGGTGAGAATCTGACAGCCCGTAGCAGCACCCACACCCCCAGGGGAGCATCTGACATCCTGGAGCAGCACCGACAACCCCAGGTGAGCATCTGAGAGCCTGGAACAGCACCCACAACCCCAGGTGAGAATCTGACAGCCTGGAAGAGCACCCCACATCACCGGGTGAGCATCTGACAGCCTGGAACAGCAACCATACCCTCAGGTAAGCATCTGACAGACTGGAACAGCACCCACACGCCCAGGTGAGCCTCTGACAGCCTGGAACAGCACCCACACCCCCAGGCGAGCATCCGACAGCCTGGAGCAGCACCCACACACCCAGGTGAGCAACTGACAGCCTGGAGCAGCACCCACACACCCAGGTGATCATCTGACAGCCTGGTACAGCACGCTGCCCCCCCAGGTGAGCATCTGACAGCCTGGAACAGCACACACACCCCCAGGCGAGCATCTGACAACCTGGAACAGCACCCATACGCCCAGATGAGCATCTGACAGCCTGGAACAGCACCCTGCACCCCCAGGTGAGCATCTGACAGCCTGGAACAGCACCCACACCCCCAGGTGAGCATCTGTCCGCATCACATGGCATCCTCACCCCCAGTTGCGCATCTGATGGTCTGGAGCAGCACCCACACCCACAGGTGAGCATCAGACAGCCTGGAACCGCAGCCACACCCCCAGGCGAGCATCTGACAGCCTGGAGCAGCATCCACACCCCCAGGTGAGCATTTGACAGCCTGGAACAGCACTCACACCCCCAGGAGAGCATCCGGCAGCCTGGAGCGGAACCCACGGCCACAGGCGAGCATCTGAGAGCCTGGGTCGGCACCCACACCCCCAGGTGAGCATCTGATGGTTTGCGGCAACACCGACACCCACAGGTGAGCATCTGACAGCCTGGAACAGAACCCACACGCCCAGGTGAGCATCTGACAGCCTGGAACAACAGCCTGCACCACCAGGTGCGCATGTGACAGCCTGGAACAGCACCAACACCCCCAGGCGAGCATCTGACGGCCTGGAACAGCACCCACACCCCCAGGTGAGCATCAGACAGCCTGGAACAACACCCATACCCACAGGTGAGCATCTGACATCGTGGAGCAGCACCCCACACCCACAGGTGAGCATCTGACAGCCTGGAGCAGCACCCACACCCCCAGGTGAGCATCTGACAGCCTGGAACAGCACCCACACCCCCAGGTGAGAATCTGATTGTCTGGAGCATCACACACAACCACAGGTGAGCATCGGAGAGTCTGGAGCAGCACCAACATCCCAAGGTGAGCATCTGACAACCTGGAGCAGCACCCACACCTCGAGGTGAGCATCTGTCCTCCCGGAGCAGGACCCATACCTCCAGGCGAGCATCTGAACCCATGGAGCAGCACACACGCCCCCAGGCGAGCATCTGACCGAACGGAGCAGCACCCACAATCCCAGGCGAGCATCTGACAGCCTTTAACAGCACCCACAACCCCAGGTGAGCATCTGACAGCCCGCAGCAGCACCCACACGCACAGGTGAGAATCTGACAGCCCGGAGCAGCACCCACACCCCCAGGGGAGCATCTGACCGCATGGAGCAGCACCCACACCCCCAGGGGAGCATCTGAAATCCTGGAGCTGCACCGACAACACCAGGTGAGCATCTGAGAGCCTGGAACAGCTCCCGCACCCCCAGGTGAGAATCTGACAGCCTGGAAGAGCACCCCATATCCCCGGGTGAGCATCTGACAGCCTGGAACAGCACCCACTCCCCCAGGTGAGCACCTGACAGACTGGAACAGCACCCACAGGCCCAGGTGTGCCTCTGACAGCTTGGAACAGCACGCGCACCCCGAGGTGAGCATCTGACAGCCTGGAACAGCACCCACACCCCCAGGCGAGCATCTGATAGCCTGGAACAGCACCCACACCCCCAGGAGAGCATCCGGCAGCCTGCAGCAGAACCCACACCAACAGGCGAGCATCTGACAGCCTGGGTCGGCACCCACACCCCCAGGTGAGCATCTGACGGCCTGGAACAGCACCCACACCCCCAGGTGAGCATCTGACATCGTGGAGCAGCACCCCACACCCACAGGTGAGCATCTGACAGCCTGGAGCAGCACCCACACCCCCAGGTGAGCATCTGACAGCCTGGAACAGCACCCTGCACCCCCAGGTGAGCATCCGACAGCCTGGAGCAGCAACCACACTCCCAGGCGAGCATCCGATGACCTGGAGCAGCACCCACAACCCCAAGTGAGCATCTGATTGTCTGGAGCAGCACCCACAACCACAGGTGAGCATCGTAGAGTCTGGAGCAGCGCCCACAGCCACAGGCGAGCATCTGACAGCCCGGAGCAGTGCCCACACCCCGAGGTGAGCATCTGACAACAGGGAGCAGCACCCATAGCCCATGGTGAGCACCTGACAACCTGGAGCAGCACCCACACACCCAGGTGAGCATCTGATGGTCTGGAGCAGCACCCACAACCACAGGTGAGCATCGGAGAGTCAGGAGCAGTGCCCACACACCCAGGCGAGCATCTGACAGCCTGGAGCAGTGCCCACACCCCCAGGTGAGCATCTGACATCGTGGAGCAGCACCCCACACCCACAGGTGAGCATCTGACAGCCTGGAGCAGCACCCACACCCCCAGGTGAGCATCTGACAGCCTGGAACAGCACCCACATCCCCAGGTGAGCCTCTGACATCGTCGAGCAGCACCCCACACCCACAGGTGAGCATCTGACAGCCTGGAACAGCACCCACACCCCCAGGTGAGAATCTGATGTTCTGGAGCATCACACACAACCACAGGTGAGCATCGGAGAGTCTGGAGCAGCACCCACAACCCAAGGTGAGCATCTGACAACCTGGAGCAGCACCCACACCCCGAGGTGAGCATCTGACCTCCCGGAGCAGGACCCATACCTCCAGGCGAGCATCTGAACCCATGGAGCAGCACCCACGCCCCCAGGCGAGCATCTGACCGAACAGAGCAGCACCCACAACCCCATGCGAGCATCTGACAGCCTGGAACAGCACCCACAACCCCAGGTGAGCATCTGACAGCCCGCAGCAGCAACCACACGCACAGGTGAGAATCTGACAGCCCGTAGCAGCACCCACACCCCCAGGGGAGCATCTGACATCCTGGAGCAGCACCGACAACCCCAGGTGAGCATATGAGAGCCTGGAACAGCACCCACAACCCCAGGTGAGAATCTGACAGCCTGGAAGAGCACCCCACATCACCGGGTGAGCATCTGACAGCCTGGAACAGCAACCATACCCTCAGGTAAGCATCTGACAGACTGGAACAGCACCCACACGCCCAGGTGAGCCTCTGACAGCCTGGAACAGCACGCGCAAACCCAGGTGAGCATCTGACAGCCTGGAACAGCACCCACACCCACAGGTGAGCATCTGACAGCATGTAACAGCACCCACACCCCCAGGTGAGCATCTGACAGCCTGCAACAGCACCCTGCACCCCCAGGTGCGCACGTGACAGCCTGGAAGAGCACCCACACCCCAAGGCGAGCATCTGACGGCCTGGAACGGCACCCACACCCCCAGGCGAGCATCGGACAGCCTGGAGCAGCACCCCACACCCCCAGGTGAGCATCCGACAGCCTGGAGCAGCACCCACACCCCCAGGTGAGCATGTGACAGCCTGGAAGAGCACCCACACCCCCAGGCGAGCATCTGACAGCCTGGGTCGGCAACCACACACGCAGGTGCGCATCTGATGGTCTGGAGCAGCACCCACACCAACAGGTGAGCATCTGACAGCCTGGAACAGAACCCACACCCCCAGGTGAGCATGTGACAGACTGGAACAGCACCCACATGCCCAGGTGAGCCTCTGACAGCCTGTAACAGCAGCCTGCACCCCCAGGTGCGCCCGTGACAGCCTGGAACAGCACCGACACCCACAGGCGAGCATCTGACGGCCTGGAACAGCACCCACACCCCCAGGTGAGCATTGGACAGCCTGGAGCAGCACCCACAACCCCAGGCGGGCAACCGACAACCTGGAGCAGCACCCACACCCACAGTTGAGCATCTGACTTCGTGGAGCATAACCCCACACGCACAGGTGAGCATCTGACAGCCTGGAGCTGCACCCACACCCTCAGGTGAGTCTCTGACAGCCTGGAACAGCACCCTGCACACCCAGGTGAGCATCCGACAGCCTGGAGCAGCACCCACACCCCCAGTTGAGCAACTGATGGTCTGGAGCAGCACCCACAACCACAGGTGAACATCAGAGAGTCTGGAGCAACGCCCACAACCCCAGGCGAGCATCTGACAGCCTGGAGCAGTGCCCAAACACCCAGGTGAGCATCTGACAGCATGGAGCAGCACCCATAGCCCAAGGTGAGCATCTGACAACCTGGAGCAGCACCCACACCCCGAGGTGAGCATCTGACCTCCCGGAGCAGGACCCATACCTCCAGGCGAGCATCTGAACCCATGGAGCAGCACCCACGCCCCCAGGCGAGCATCTGACCGAACAGAGCAGCACCCACAACCCCATGCGAGCATCTGTCAGCCTGGAACAGCACCCACAACCCCAGGTGAGCATCTGACAGCCCGCAGCAGCAACCACACGCACAGGTGAGAATCTGACAGCCCGTAGCAGCACCCACACCCCCAGGGGAGCATCTGACATCCTGGAGCAGCACCGACAACCCCAGGTGAGCATCTGAGAGCCTGGAACAGCACCCACAACCCCAGGTGAGAATCTGACAGCCTGGAAGAGCACCCCACATCACCGGGTGAGCATCTGACAGCCTGGAACAGCAACCATACCCTCAGGTAAGCATCTGACAGACTGGAACAGCACCCACACGCCCAGGTGAGCCTCTGACAGCCTGGAACAGCACCCACACCCCCAGGCGAGCATCCGACAGCCTGGAGCAGCACCCACACACCCAGGTGAGCAACTGACAGCCTGGAGCAGCACCCACACACCCAGGTGATCATCTGACAGCCTGGTACAGCACGCTGCCCCCCCAGGTGAGCATCTGACAGCCTGGAACAGCACACACACCCCCAGGCGAGCATCTGACAACCTGGAACAGCACCCATACGCCCAGATGAGCATCTGACAGCCTGGAACAGCACCCTGCACCCCCAGGTGAGCATCTGACAGCCTGGAACAGCACCCACACCCCCAGGTGAGCATCTGTCCGCATCACATGGCATCCTCACCCCCAGTTGCGCATCTGATGGTCTGGAGCAGCACCCACACCCACAGGTGAGCATCAGACAGCCTGGAACCGCAGCCACACCCCCAGGCGAGCATCTGACAGCCTGGAGCAGCATCCACACCCCCAGGTGAGCATTTGACAGCCTGGAACAGCACTCACACCCCCAGGAGAGCATCCGGCAGCCTGGAGCGGAACCCACGGCCACAGGCGAGCATCTGAGAGCCTGGGTCGGCACCCACACCCCCAGGTGAGCATCTGATGGTTTGCGGCAACACCGACACCCACAGGTGAGCATCTGACAGCCTGGAACAGAACCCACACGCCCAGGTGAGCATCTGACAGCCTGGAACAACAGCCTGCACCACCAGGTGCGCATGTGACAGCCTGGAACAGCACCAACACCCCCAGGCGAGCATCTGACGGCCTGGAACAGCACCCACACCCCCAGGTGAGCATCAGACAGCCTGGAACAACACCCATACCCACAGGTGAGCATCTGACATCGTGGAGCAGCACCCCACACCCACAGGTGAGCATCTGACAGCCTGGAGCAGCACCCACACCCCCAGGTGAGCATCTGACAGCCTGGAACAGCACCCACACCCCCAGGTGAGAATCTGATTGTCTGGAGCATCACACACAACCACAGGTGAGCATCGGAGAGTCTGGAGCAGCACCAACATCCCAAGGTGAGCATCTGACAACCTGGAGCAGCACCCACACCTCGAGGTGAGCATCTGTCCTCCCGGAGCAGGACCCATACCTCCAGGCGAGCATCTGAACCCATGGAGCAGCACACACGCCCCCAGGCGAGCATCTGACCGAACGGAGCAGCACCCACAATCCCAGGCGAGCATCTGACAGCCTTTAACAGCACCCACAACCCCAGGTGAGCATCTGACAGCCCGCAGCAGCACCCACACGCACAGGTGAGAATCTGACAGCCCGGAGCAGCACCCACACCCCCAGGGGAGCATCTGACCGCATGGAGCAGCACCCACACCCCCAGGGGAGCATCTGAAATCCTGGAGCTGCACCGACAACACCAGGTGAGCATCTGAGAGCCTGGAACAGCTCCCGCACCCCCAGGTGAGAATCTGACAGCCTGGAAGAGCACCCCATATCCCCGGGTGAGCATCTGACAGCCTGGAACAGCACCCACTCCCCCAGGTGAGCACCTGACAGACTGGAACAGCACCCACAGGCCCAGGTGTGCCTCTGACAGCTTGGAACAGCACGCGCACCCCGAGGTGAGCATCTGACAGCCTGGAACAGCACCCACACCCCCAGGCGAGCATCTGATAGCCTGGAACAGCACCCACACCCCCAGGAGAGCATCCGGCAGCCTGCAGCAGAACCCACACCAACAGGCGAGCATCTGACAGCCTGGGTCGGCACCCACACCCCCAGGTGAGCATCTGACGGCCTGGAACAGCACCCACACCCCCAGGTGAGCATCTGACATCGTGGAGCAGCACCCCACACCCACAGGTGAGCATCTGACAGCCTGGAGCAGCACCCACACCCCCAGGTGAGCATCTGACAGCCTGGAACAGCACCCTGCACCCCCAGGTGAGCATCCGACAGCCTGGAGCAGCAACCACACTCCCAGGCGAGCATCCGATGACCTGGAGCAGCACCCACAACCCCAAGTGAGCATCTGATTGTCTGGAGCAGCACCCACAACCACAGGTGAGCATCGTAGAGTCTGGAGCAGCGCCCACAGCCACAGGCGAGCATCTGACAGCCCGGAGCAGTGCCCACACCCCGAGGTGAGCATCTGACAACAGGGAGCAGCACCCATAGCCCATGGTGAGCACCTGACAACCTGGAGCAGCACCCACACACCCAGGTGAGCATCTGATGGTCTGGAGCAGCACCCACAACCACAGGTGAGCATCGGAGAGTCAGGAGCAGTGCCCACACACCCAGGCGAGCATCTGACAGCCTGGAGCAGTGCCCACACCCCCAGGTGAGCATCTGACATCGTGGAGCAGCACCCCACACCCACAGGTGAGCATCTGACAGCCTGGAGCAGCACCCACACCCCCAGGTGAGCATCTGACAGCCTGGAACAGCACCCACATCCCCAGGTGAGCCTCTGACATCGTCGAGCAGCACCCCACACCCACAGGTGAGCATCTGACAGCCTGGAACAGCACCCACACCCCCAGGTGAGAATCTGATGTTCTGGAGCATCACACACAACCACAGGTGAGCATCGGAGAGTCTGGAGCAGCACCCACAACCCAAGGTGAGCATCTGACAACCTGGAGCAGCACCCACACCCCGAGGTGAGCATCTGACCTCCCGGAGCAGGACCCATACCTCCAGGCGAGCATCTGAACCCATGGAGCAGCACCCACGCCCCCAGGCGAGCATCTGACCGAACAGAGCAGCACCCACAACCCCATGCGAGCATCTGACAGCCTGGAACAGCACCCACAACCCCAGGTGAGCATCTGACAGCCCGCAGCAGCAACCACACGCACAGGTGAGAATCTGACAGCCCGTAGCAGCACCCACACCCCCAGGGGAGCATCTGACATCCTGGAGCAGCACCGACAACCCCAGGTGAGCATCTGAGAGCCTGGAACAGCACCCACAACCCCAGGTGAGAATCTGACAGCCTGGAAGAGCACCCCACATCACCGGGTGAGCATCTGACAGCCTGGAACAGCAACCATACCCTCAGGTAAGCATCTGACAGACTGGAACAGCACCCACACGCCCAGGTGAGCCTCTGACAGCCTGGAACAGCACGCGCAACCCCAGGTGAGCATCTGACAGCCTGGAACAGCACCCACACCCACAGGTGAGCATCTGACAGCATGTAACAGCACCCACACCCCCAGGTGAGCATCTGACAGCCTGCAACAGCACCCTGCACCCCCAGGTGCGCACGTGACAGCCTGGAAGAGCACCCACACCCCAAGGCGAGCATCTGACGGCCTGGAACGGCACCCACACCCCCAGGCGAGCATCGGACAGCCTGGAGCAGCACCCCACACCCCCAGGTGAGCATCCGACAGCCTGGAGCAGCACCCACACCCCCAGGTGAGCATGTGACAGCCTGGAAGAGCACCCACACCCCCAGGCGAGCATCTGACAGCCTGGGTCGGCAACCACACACGCAGGTGCGCATCTGATGGTCTGGAGCAGCACCCACACCAACAGGTGAGCATCTGACAGCCTGGAACAGAACCCACACCCCCAGGTGAGCATGTGACAGACTGGAACAGCACCCACATGCCCAGGTGAGCCTCTGACAGCCTGTAACAGCAGCCTGCACCCCCAGGTGCGCCCGTGACAGCCTGGAACAGCACCGACACCCACAGGCGAGCATCTGACGGCCTGGAACAGCACCCACACCCCCAGGTGAGCATTGGACAGCCTGGAGCAGCACCCACAACCCCAGGCGGGCAACCGACAACCTGGAGCAGCACCCACACCCACAGTTGAGCATCTGACTTCGTGGAGCATAACCCCACACGCACAGGTGAGCATCTGACAGCCTGGAGCTGCACCCACACCCTCAGGTGAGTCTCTGACAGCCTGGAACAGCACCCTGCACACCCAGGTGAGCATCCGACAGCCTGGAGCAGCACCCACACCCCCAGTTGAGCATCTGATGGTCTGGAGCAGCACCCACAACCACAGGTGAACATCAGAGAGTCTGGAGCAGCGCCCACAACCCCAGGCGAGCATCTGACAGCCTGGAGCAGTGCCCAAACACCCAGGTGAGCATCTGACAGCATGGAGCAGCACCCATAGCCCAAGGTGAGCATCTGACAACCTGAAGCAGCACCCACACACCGAGGTGAGCATCTGACCTCCCGGAGCAGCACCAGTACCCCCAGGCGAGCATCTGAACTCATGGAGCAGCACCCACACCCCCAGGCGAGCATCTGACCGAACGGAGCAGCACCCACAACCCCAGGCGAGCATCTGACAGCATGAAACAGCACCCAGAACTCCAGGTGAGCATCTGACAGCCCGCAGTAGCACCCACAAGCACAAGTGAGAATCTGACAGCCCAGAGCAGCACCCACACCCCCAGGGGAGCATCTGACCGCATGGAGCAGCACCCACACCCCCAGGAGAGCATCCGGCAGCCTGCAGCAGAACCCACACCAACAGGCGAGCATCTGACAGCCTGGGTCGGCACCCACACCCCCAGGTGAGCATCTGACGGCCTGGAACAGCACCCACACCCCCAGGTGAGCATCTGACATCGTGGAGCCGCACCCCACACCCACAGGTGAGCATCTGACAGCCTGGAGCAGCACCCACACCCCCAGGTGAGCATCTGACAGCCTGGAACAGCACCCTGCACCCCCAGGTGAGCATCCGACAGCCTGGAGCAGCACCCACCACTCCCAGGCCAGCATCCGATAACCTGGAGCAGCACCCACAACCCCAAGTGAGCATCTGATTGTCTGGAGCAGCACCCACAACCACAGGTGAGCATCGTAGAGTCTGGAGCAGCGCCCACAGCCCCACACGAGCATCTGACAGCCCGGAGCAGTGACCACACCTCCAGGTGAGCATCTGACAACAGGGAGCAGCACCCATAGCCCATGGTGAGCATCTGACAACCTGGAGCAGCACCCACACCCCCAGGTGAGCATCTGATGATCTGGAGCAGCACCCACAACCACAGGTGAGCATCGGAGAGTCAGGAGCAGTGCCCACACACCCAGGCGAGCATCTGACAGCCTGGAGCAGTGCCCACACCCCCAGGTGAGCATCTGACAGCGTGGAGCAGCACCCACAGCCCAAGGTGAGCATCTGACAACCTGGAGCAGCACCCACGCCCCCAGGCGAGCATCTGAACACACGGAGCAGCACCCACACCCCCAGGCGAGCATCCGACAGCCTGGAGCAGCACCCACACACCCAGGTGAGCAACTGACAGCCTGGAGCAGCACCCACACACCCAGGTGATCATCTGACAGCCTGGAACAGCACGCTGCCCCCCCAGGTGAGCATCTGACAGCCTGGAACAGCACACACACCCCCAGGCGAGCATCTGACAACCTGGAACAGCACCCATACGCCCAGATGAGCATCTGACAGCCTGGAACAGCACCCTGCACCCCCAGGTGAGCATCTGACAGCCTGGAACAGCACCCACACCCCCAGGTGAGCATCTGACCGCATCACATGGCATCCTCACCCCCAGTTGCGCATCTGATGGTCTGGAGCAGCACCCACACCCACAGGTGAGCATCAGACAGCCTGGAACCGCAGCCACACCCCCAGGCGAGCATCTGACAGCCTGGAGCAGCATCCACACCCCCAGGTGAGCATTTGACAGCCTGGAACAGCACTCACACCCCCAGGAGAGCATCCGGCAGCCTGGAGCGGAACCCACGGCCACAGGCGAGCATCTGAGGGCCTGGGTCGGCACCCACACCCCCAGGTGAGCATCTGATGGTTTGCGGCAACACTGACACCCACAGGTGAGCATCTGACAGCCTGGAACAGAACCCACACGCCCAGGTGAGCATCTGACAGCCTGGAACAACAGCCTGCACCACCAGGTGCGCATGTGACAGCCTGGAACAGCACCAACACCCCCAGGCGAGCATCTGACGGCCTGGAACAGCACCCACACCCCCAGGTGAGCATCAGACAGCCTGGAACAACACCCATACCCACAGGTGAGCATCTGACATCGTGGAGCAGCACCCCACACCCACAGGTGAGCATCTGACAGCCTGGAGCAGCACCCACACCCCCAGGTGAGCATCTGACAGCCTGGAACAGCACCCACACCCCCAGGTGAGAATCTGATTGTCTGGAGCATCACACACAACCACAGGTGAGCATCGGAGAGTCTGGAGCAGCACCAACATCCCAAGGTGAGCATCTGACAACCTGGAGCAGCACCCACACCTCGAGGTGAGCATCTGTCCTCCCGGAGCAGGACCCATACCTCCAGGCGAGCATCTGAACCCATGGAGCAGCACACACGCCCCCAGGCGAGCATCTGACCGAACGGAGCAGCACCCACAATCCCAGGCGAGCATCTGACAGCCTTTAACAGCACCCACAACCCCAGGTGAGCATCTGACAGCCCGCAGCAGCACCCACACGCACAGGTGAGAATCTGACAGCCCGGAGCAGCACCCACACCCCCAGGGGAGCATCTGACCGCATGGAGCAGCACCCACACCCCCAGGGGAGCATCTGAAATCCTGGAGCTGCACCGACAACACCAGGTGAGCATCTGAGAGCCTGGAAAAGCTCCCGCACCCCCAGGTGAGAATCTGACAGCCTGGAAGAGCACCCCATATCCCCGGGTGAGCATCTGACAGCCTGGAACAGCACCCACTCCCCCAGGTGAGCACCTGACAGACTGGAACAGCACCCACAGGCCCAGGTGTGCCTCTGACAGCTTGGAACAGCACGCGCACCCCGAGGTGAGCATCTGACAGCCTGGAACAGCACCCACACCCCCAGGCGAGCATCTGATAGCCTGGAACAGCACCCACACCCCCAGGAGAGCATCCGGCAGCCTGCAGCAGAACCCACACCAACAGGCGAGCATCTGACAGCCTGGGTCGGCACCCACACCCCCAGGTGAGCATCTGACGGCCTGGAACAGCACCCACACCCCCAGGTGAGCATCTGACATCGTGGAGCAGCACCCCACACCCACAGGTGAGCATCTGACAGCCTGGAGCAGCACCCACACCCCCAGGTGAGCATCTGACAGCCTGGAACAGCACCCTGCACCCCCAGGTGAGCATCCGACAGCCTGGAGCAGCAACCACACTCCCAGGCGAGCATCCGATGACCTGGAGCAGCACCCACAACCCCAAGTGAGCATCTGATTGTCTGGAGCAGCACCCACAACCACAGGTGAGCATCGTAGAGTCTGGAGCAGCGCCCACAGCCACAGGCGAGCATCTGACAGCCCGGAGCAGTGCCCACACCCCGAGGTGAGCATCTGACAACAGGGAGCAGCACCCATAGCCCATGGTGAGCACCTGACAACCTGGAGCAGCACCCACACACCCAGGTGAGCATCTGATGGTCTGGAGCAGCACCCACAACCACAGGTGAGCATCGGAGAGTCAGGAGCAGTGCCCACACACCCAGGCGAGCATCTGACAGCCTGGAGCAGTGCCCACACCCCCAGGTGAGAATCTGACAGCCCGTAGCAGCACCCACACCCCCAGGGGAGCATCTGACATCCTGGAGCAGCACCGACAACCCCAGGTGAGCATCTGAGAGCCTGGAACAGCACCCACAACCCCAGGTGAGAATCTGACAGCCTGGAAGAGCACCCCACATCACCGGGTGAGCATCTGACAGCCTGGAACAGCAACCATACCCTCAGGTAAGCATCTGACAGACTGGAACAGCACCCACACGCCCAGGTGAGCCTCTGACAGCCTGGAACAGCACGCGCAACCCCAGGTGAGCATCTGACAGCCTGGAACAGCACCCACACCCACAGGTGAGCATCTGACAGCATGTAACAGCACCCACACTCCCAGGTGAGCATCTGACAGCCTGCAACAGCACCCTGCACCCCCAGGTGCGCACGTGACAGCCTGGAAGAGCACCCACACCCCAAGGCGAGCATCTGACGGCCTGGAACGGCACCCACAACCCCAGGCGAGCATCGGACAGCCTGGAGCAGCACCCCACACCCCCAGGTGAGCATCCGACAGCCTGGAGCAGCACCCACACCCCCAGGTGAGCATGTGACAGCCTGGAAGAGCACCCACACCCCCAGGCGAGCATCTGACAGCCTGGGTCGGCAACCACACACGCAGGTGCGCATCTGATGGTCTGGAGCAGCACCCACACCAACAGGTGAGCATCTGACAGCCTGGAACAGAACCCACACCCCCAGGTGAGCATGTGACAGACTGGAACAGCACCCACATGCCCAGGTGAGCCTCTGACAGCCTGTAACAGCAGCCTGCACCCCCAGGTGCGCCCGTGACAGCCTGGAACAGCACCGACACCCACAGGCGAGCATCTGACGGCCTGGAACAGCACCCACACCCCCAGGTGAGCATTGGACAGCCTGGAGCAGCACCCACAACCCCAGGCGGGCAACCGACAACCTGGAGCAGCACCCACACCCACAGTTGAGCATCTGACTTCGTGGAGCATAACCCCACACGCACAGGTGAGCATCTGACAGCCTGGAGCTGCACCCACACCCTCAGGTGAGTCTCTGACAGCCTGGAACAGCACCCTGCACACCCAGGTGAGCATCCGACAGCCTGGAGCAGCACCCACACCCCCAGTTGAGCATCTGATGGTCTGGAGCAGCACCCACAACCACAGGTGAACATCAGAGAGTCTGGAGCAGCGCCCACAACCCCAGGCGAGCATCTGACAGCCTGGAGCAGTGCCCAAACACCCAGGTGAGCATCTGACAGCATGGAGCAGCACCCATAGCCCAAGGTGAGCATCTGACAACCTGGAGCAGCACCCACACCCCGAGGTGAGCATCTGACCTCCCGGAGCAGCACCAGTACCCCCAGGCGAGCATCTGAACTCATGGAGCAGCACCCACACCCCCAGGCGAGCATCTGACCGAACGGAGCAGCACCCACAAACCCAGGCGAGCATCTGACAGCATGAAACAGCACCCAGAACTCCAGGTGAGCATCTGACAGCCCGCAGTAGCACCCACAAGCACAAGTGAGAATCTGACAGCCCAGAGCAGCACCCACACCCCCAGGGGAGCATCTGACCGCATGGAGCAGCACCCACACCCCCAGGAGAGCATCCGGCAGCCTGCAGCAGAACCCACACCAACAGGCGAGCATCTGACAGCCTGGGTCGGCACCCACACCACCAGGTGAGCATCTGACGGCCTGGAACAGCACCCACACCCCCAGGTGAGCATCTGACATCGTGGAGCCGCACCCCACACCCACAGGTGAGCATCTGACAGCCTGGAGCAGCACCCACACCCCCAGGTGAGCATCTGACAGCATGGAACAGCACCCTGCACCCCCAGGTGAGCATCCGACAGCCTGGAGCAGCACCCACCACTCCCAGGCCAGCATCCGATAACCTGGAGCAGCACCCACAACCCCAAGTGAGCATCTGATTGTCTGGAGCAGCACCCACAACCACAGGTGAGCATCGTAGAGTCTGGAGCAGCGCCCACAGCCCCACGCGAGCATCTGACAGCCCGGAGCAGTGACCACACCTCCAGGTGAGCATCTGACAACAGGGAGCAGCACCCATAGCCCATGGTGAGCATCTGACAACCTGGAGCAGCACCCACACCCCCAGGTGAGCATCTGATGATCTGGAGCAGCACCCACAACCACAGGTGAGCATCGGAGAGTCAGGAGCAGTGCCCACACACCCAGGCGAGCATCTGACAGCCTGGAGCAGTGCCCACACCCCCAGGTGAGCATCTGACAGCGTGGAGCAGCACCCACAGCCCAAGGTGAGCATCTGACAACCTGGAGCAGCACCCACGCCCCCAGGCGAGCATCTGAACACACGGAGCAGCACCCACACCCCCAGGCGAGCATCCGACAGCCTGGAGCAGCACCCACACACCCAGGTGAGCAACTGACAGCCTGGAGCAGCACCCACACACCCAGGTGATCATCTGACAGCCTGGAACAGCACGCTGCCCCCCCAGGTGAGCATCTGACAGCCTGGAACAGCACACACACCCCCAGGCGAGCATCTGACAGCCTGGAACAGCACCCATACGCCCAGATGAGCATCTGACAGCCTGGAACAGCACCCTGCACCCCCAGGTGAGCATCTGACAGCCTGGAACAGCACCCACACCCCCAGGTGAGCATCTGACCGCATCACATGGCATCCTCACACCCAGTTGCGCATCTGATGGTCTGGAGCAGCACCCACACCCACAGGTGAGCATCAGACAGCCTGGAACCGCAGCCACACCCCCAGGCGAGCATCTGACAGCCTGGAGCAGCACCCTGCACCCCCAGGTGAGCATCCGACAGCCTGGAGCAGCAACCACACTCCCAGGCGAGCATCCGATGACCTGGAGCAGCACCCACAACCCCAAGTGAGCATCTGATTGTCTGGAGCAGCACCCACAACCACAGGTGAGCATCGTAGAGTCTGGAGCAGCGCCCACAGCCACAGGCGAGCATCTGACAGCCCGGAGCAGTGCCCACACCCCGAGGTGAGCATCTGACAACAGGGAGCAGCACCCATAGCCCATGGTGAGCACCTGACAACCTGGAGCAGCACCCACACACCCAGGTGAGCATCTGATGGTCTGGAGCAGCACCCACAACCACAGGTGAGCATCGGAGAGTCAGGAGCAGTGCCCACACACCCAGGCGAGCATCTGACAGCCTGGAGCAGTGCCCACACCCCCAGGTGAGCATCTGACATCGTGGAGCAGCACCCCACACCCACAGGTGAGCATCTGACAGCCTGGAGCAGCACCCACACCCCCAGGTGAGCATCTGACAGCCTGGAACAGCACCCACATCCCCAGGTGAGCCTCTGACATCGTCGAGCAGCACCCCACACCCACAGGTGAGCATCTGACAGCCTGGAACAGCACCCACACCCCCAGGTGAGAATCTGATGTTCTGGAGCATCACACACAACCACAGGTGAGCATCGGAGAGTCTGGAGCAGCACCCACAACCCAAGGTGAGCATCTGACAACCTGGAGCAGCACCCACACCCCGAGGTGAGCATCTGACCTCCCGGAGCAGGACCCATACCTCCAGGCGAGCATCTGAACCCATGGAGCAGCACCCACGCCCCCAGGCGAGCATCTGACCGAACAGAGCAGCACCCACAACCCCATGCGAGCATCTGACAGCCTGGAACAGCACCCACAACCCCAGGTGAGCATCTGACAGCCCGCAGCAGCAACCACACGCACAGGTGAGAATCTGACAGCCCGTAGCAGCACCCACACCCCCAGGGGAGCATCTGACATCCTGGAGCAGCACCGACAACCCCAGGTGAGCATCTGAGAGCCTGGAACAGCACCCACAACCCCAGGTGAGAATCTGACAGCCTGGAAGAGCACCCCACATCACCGGGTGAGCATCTGACAGCCTGGAACAGCAACCATACCCTCAGGTAAGCATCTGACAGACTGGAACAGCACCCACACGCCCAGGTGAGCCTCTGACAGCCTGGAACAGCACGCGCAACCCCAGGTGAGCATCTGACAGCCTGGAACAGCACCCACACCCACAGGTGAGCATCTGACAGCATGTAACAGCACCCACACCCCCAGGTGAGCATCTGACAGCCTGCAACAGCACCCTGCACCCCCAGGTGCGCACGTGACAGCCTGGAAGAGCACCCACACCCCAAGGCGAGCATCTGACGGCCTGGAACGGCACCCACACCCCCAGGCGAGCATCGGACAGCCTGGAGCAGCACCCCACACCCCCAGGTGAGCATCCGACAGCCTGGAGCAGCACCCACACCCCCAGGTGAGCATGTGACAGCCTGGAAGAGCACCCACACCCCCAGGCGAGCATCTGACAGCCTGGGTCGGCAACCACACACGCAGGTGCGCATCTGATGGTCTGGAGCAGCACCCACACCAACAGGTGAGCATCTGACAGCCTGGAACAGAACCCACACCCCCAGGTGAGCATGTGACAGACTGGAACAGCACCCACATGCCCAGGTGAGCCTCTGACAGCCTGTAACAGCAGCCTGCACCCCCAGGTGCGCCCGTGACAGCCTGGAACAGCACCGACACCCACAGGCGAGCATCTGACGGCCTGGAACAGCACCCACACCCCCAGGTGAGCATTGGACAGCCTGGAGCAGCACCCACAACCCCAGGCGGGCAACCGACAACCTGGAGCAGCACCCACACCCACAGTTGAGCATCTGACTTCGTGGAGCATAACCCCACACGCACAGGTGAGCATCTGACAGCCTGGAGCTGCACCCACACCCTCAGGTGAGTCTCTGACAGCCTGGAACAGCACCCTGCACACCCAGGTGAGCATCCGACAGCCTGGAGCAGCACCCACACCCCCAGTTGAGCATCTGATGGTCTGGAGCAGCACCCACAACCACAGGTGAACATCAGAGAGTCTGGAGCAGCGCCCACAACCCCAGGCGAGCATCTGACAGCCTGGAGCAGTGCCCAAACACCCAGGTGAGCATCTGACAGCATGGAGCAGCACCCATAGCCCAAGGTGAGCATCTGACAACCTGGAGCAGCACCCACACCCCGAGGTGAGCATCTGACCTCCCGGAGCAGCACCAGTACCCCCAGGCGAGCATCTGAACTCATGGAGCAGCACCCACACCCCCAGGCGAGCATCTGACCGAACGGAGCAGCACCCACAAACCCAGGCGAGCATCTGACAGCATGAAACAGCACCCAGAACTCCAGGTGAGCATCTGACAGCCCGCAGTAGCACCCACAAGCACAAGTGAGAATCTGACAGCCCAGAGCAGCACCCACACCCCCAGGGGAGCATCTGACCGCATGGAGCAGCACCCACACCCCCAGGAGAGCATCCGGCAGCCTGCAGCAGAACCCACACCAACAGGCGAGCATCTGACAGCCTGGGTCGGCACCCACACCCCCAGGTGAGCATCTGACGGCCTGGAACAGCACCCACACCCCCAGGTGAGCATCTGACATCGTGGAGCCGCACCCCACACCCACAGGTGAGCATCTGACAGCCTGGAGCAGCACCCACACCCCCAGGTGAGCATCTGACAGCCTGGAACAGCACCCTGCACCCCCAGGTGAGCATCCGACAGCCTGGAGCAGCACCCACCACTCCCAGGCCAGCATCCGATAACCTGGAGTAGCACCCACAACCCCAAGTGAGCATCTGATTGTCTGGAGCAGCACCCACAACCACAGGTGAGCATCGTAGAGTCTGGAGCAGCGCCCACAGCCCCACGCGAGCATCTGACAGCCCGGAGCAGTGACCACACCTCCAGGTGAGCATCTGACAACAGGGAGCAGCACCCATAGCCCATGGTGAGCATCTGACAACCTGGAGCAGCACCCACACCCCCAGGTGAGCATCTGATGATCTGGAGCAGCACCCACAACCACAGGTGAGCATCGGAGAGTCAGGAGCAGTGCCCACACACCCAGGCGAGCATCTGACAGCCTAGAGCAGTGCCCACACCCCCAGGTGAGCATCTGACAGCGTGGAGCAGCACCCACAGCCCAAGGTGAGCATCTGACAACCTGGAGCAGCACCCACGCCCACAGGCGAGCATCTGAACACACGGAGCAGCACCCACACCCCCAGGCGAGCATCCGACAGCCTGGAGCAGCACCCACACACCCAGGTGAGCAACTGACAGCCTGGAGCAGCACCCACACACCCAGGTGATCATCTGACAGCCTGGAACAGCACGCTGCCCCCCCAGGTGAGCATCTGACAGCCTGGAACAGCACACACACCCCCAGGCGAGCATCTGACAACCTGGAACAGCACCCATACGCCCAGATGAGCATCTGACAGCCTGGAACAGCACCCTGCACCCCCAGGTGAGCATCTGACAGCCTGGAACAGCACCCACACCCCCAGGTGAGCATCTGACCGCATCGCATGGCATCCTCACCCCCAGTTGCGCATCTGATGGTCTGGAGCAGCATCCACACCCACAGGTGAGCATCAGACAGCCTGGAACCGCAGCCACACCCCCAGCGAGCACCTGACAGCCTGGAGCAGCATCCACACCCCCAGGTGAGCATTTGACAGCCTGGAACAGCACTCACACCCCCAGGAGAGCATCCGGCAGCCTGGAGCGGAACCCACGGCCACAGGCGAGCATCTGAGAGCCTGGGTCGGCACCCACACCCCCAGGTGAGCATCTGATGGTTTGCGGCAACACCGACACCCACAGGTGAGCATCTGACAGCCTGGAACAGAACCCACACGCCCAGGTGAGCATCTGACAGCCTGGAACAACAGCCTGCACCACCAGGTGCGCATGTGACAGCCTGGAACAGCACCAACACCCCAAGGCGAGCATCTGACGGCCTGGAACAGCACCCACACCCCCAGGTGAGCATCAGACAGCCTGGAACAACACCCATACCCACAGGTGAGCATCTGACATTGTGGAGCAGCACCCCACACCCACAGGTGAGCATCTGACAGCCTGGAGCAGCACCCACACCCCCAGGTGAGCATCTGACAGCCTGGAACAGCACCCTGCACCCCCAGGTGAGCATCCGACAGCCTGGAGCAGCACCCACCACTCCCAGGCCAGCATCCGATAACCTGGAGCAGCACCCACAACCCCAAGTGAGCATCTGATTGTCTGGAGCAGCACCCACAACCACAGGTGAGCATCGTAGAGTCTGGAGCAGCGCCCACAGCCCCACGCGAGCATCTGACAGCCCGGAGCAGTGACCACACCTCCAGGTGAGCATCTGACAACAGGGAGCAGCACCCATAGCCCATGGTGAGCATCTGACAACCTGGAGCAGCACCCACACCCCCAGGTGAGCATCTGATGATCTGGAGCAGCACCCACAACCACAGGTGAGCATCGGAGAGTCAGGAGCAGTGCCCACACACCCAGGCGAGCATCTGACAGCCTGGAGCAGTGCCCACACCCCCAGGTGAGCATCTGACAGCGTGGAGCAGCACCCACAGCCCAAGGTGAGCATCTGACAACCTGGAGCAGCACCCACGCCCCCAGGCGAGCATCTGAACACACGGAGCAGCACCCACACCCCCAGGCGAGCATCCGACAGCCTGGAGCAGCACCCACACACCCAGGTGAGCAACTGACAGCCTGGAGCAGCACCCACACACCCAGGTGATCATCTGACAGCCTGGAACAGCACGCTGCCCCCCCAGGTGAGCATCTGACAGCCTGGAACAGCACACACACCCCCAGGCGAGCATCTGACAACCTGGAACAGCACCCATACGCCCAGATGAGCATCTGACAGCCTGGAACAGCACCCTGCACCCCCAGGTGAGCATCTGACAGCCTGGAACAGCACCCACACCCCCAGGTGAGCATCTGACCGCATCGCATGGCATCCTCACCCCCAGTTGCGCATCTGATGGTCTGGAGCAGCACCCACACCCACAGGTGAGCATCAGACAGCCTGGAACCGCAGCCACACCCCCAGGCGAGCATCTGACAGCCTGGAGCAGCATCCACACCCCCAGGTGAGCATTTGACAGCCTGGAACAGCACGCACAGCCCCAGGAGAGCATCCGGCAGCCTGGAGCGGAACCCACGGCCACAGGCGAGCATCTGAGAGCCTGGGTCGGCACCCACACCCCCAAGTGAGCATCTGATGGTTTGCAGCAGCACCCACACCCACAGGTGAGCATCTGACAGCCTGGAACAGAATCCACACCCCCAGGTGAGCATCTGACAGACTGGAACACCACCCTGCACCCCCAGGTGAGCATCTGATGGCTTGGAACAGCACCCACACGCCCAGGTGAGCATCCGATAGCCTGGAACACCACCCTTCACCCCCAGGTGAGCATCCGACAGCCTGGAGCAGCACCCACACCACCAGGCGAGCATCTGACAGCCTGGAACGGCACCCACACCACCAGGTGAGCATCTGATGGTCTGGAGCAGCACCCACAACCACAGGTGAGCATCCGACAGCCTGGAACAGCACCCACACACTCAGGCGAGCATCTGACATCCTTCAGCAGCACCCACACCCCCAGGTGAGCATCTGACAGCCTGGAGCAGCACGCTGCACCCCCAGGTGACGATCTGACAGCCTGGAACAGCACCCACACCCCCAGGTGAGCAGCTGATATCCTGGAACAGCACCCACACCCCCAGGTGAGCATCTGACAGGCTGGAGCAGCACGCACACCCCCAGTTGAGCATCTGACAGCCGGGAACAGCACCCACACCCCCAGGTGAACATCCGACAGCCTGGAGCAGAACCCACACCCCGAGGCGAGCATCTGACAGCCTGGGTCGGCACCCACACCTCCAGGTGAGCATCTGATGGTCTGGAGCAGTACCCACACCCACAGTTGAGCATCTGACAGCCTGGAGCAGCATCCTGCACCCCCAGGTGAGCATCTGACAGCCTGGAACAGCACCCTGCAGCCCCAGGTGAGCATTTGACAGCCTGGAACAGCACCCACATCCCCAGGTGAGCATCCGATAGCCTGGAGCAGCACCCACACCCTCAGGTGAGCATCTGACAGACTGGAACAGCAACCACACCCACAGGCGAGCATCTGACAGCCTGGAGCAACACTCACACCCCCAGGTGAGCATCTGACAGCCTGGAACAGCACGCACAGCCCCAGGAGAGCATCCGGCAGCCTGGAGCGGAACCCACGCCCACAGGCAAGCATATGACAGCCTGGGTCGGCACCCACACCCCCAAGTGAGCATCTGATGGTTTGCAGCAGCACCCACACCCACAGGTGAGCATCTGACAGCCTGGAACAGAATCCACACCCCCAGGTGAGCATCTGACAGACTGGAACACCACCCTGCACCCCCAGGTGAGCATCTGACGGCCTGCAACAGCACCCACACACCCAGGCGAGCATCTGATGGCCTGGAACGGCACCCACACCCCCAGGTGAGCATCCGACATCCTGAAACAGCTCCCACAACCCCAGGTGAGCATCCGATAGCCTGGAGCAACACCCATACCCCCAGGTGAGCATCTGACCGCATGGAATGGCATCCTCACCTCCAGGTGAGCATCCGACAGCCTGGAGCAGCACCCACACGCCCAGGTGAGCATCTGACAGCCTGGAACGGCAACCACACCCCCAGGCGAGCATCCGACAGCCTGGAACAGCACCAAAAACCCCAGGTGAGCATCTGACGGCCTGGAACAGCACCCACACCCCCAGGTGAGCATCTGACATCGTGCAGCAGCACCCCACACCCACAGGTGAGCATCTGACAGCCTGGAGCAGCACCCACACCCCAGGTGAGCATCTGACAGCCTGGAACAGCACCCTGCACACCCAGGTGAGCATCCGACAGCCTGGAGCACCACCCACACCCCCAGACGAGCATCTGACAGCTTAGAACAGCACCCATACCCCCAGGCGAGCATCTGACAGCATGTAACAGCACCCACACCCACAGGTGAGCATCTGACAGCCTGGAACAGCAGCCTGCACCCCCAGGTGTGCACGTGACAGCTTGGATCAGCACCCACACCCCCAGGCGAGCATCGGACGGCCTGGAACAGCACCCACAACCCCACGTGAGCATCTGACTGCCTGGAACAGCACCCACACCCCCAGGTGAGCATCTGACATCGTGGAGCAGCACCCACACCCCAGGTGAGCATCTGAGAGCCTGGAACAGCACCCTGCACCCCCAGGTGAGCATCCCACAGCCTGGAGCAGCACACACACCCACAAGCGAGCATCTGACAGCCTGGAACGGCACCCACACCCCTAGGTGAGCATCTGATGTTCTGGAGCATCACCCACAACCACAGGTGAGCATCGGAGAGTCTGGAGCAGCGCCCACACTGCAGGGCGAGCATCTGACAGCCTGGAGCAGTGCCCACACCCCCAGGTGAGCATCTGACACCATGGAGCAGCACCCACAGACCAAGGTGAGCATCTGACAACCTGGAGCAGCACCCACACTCCCAGGCGAGTATCTGTACGCACAGAGCAGCACCCACACCCCCAGGCGAGCATCCGACAGCCTGGAGCAGCACCCACACCCTCAGGTGAGCATCTGACAGCCTGGAGCAGAACCCACACCCCCAGGCGAGCATCTGACAGCCTGGGTCCGCACCCACACCCCCAGGTGCGCATCTGATGGTCTGGAGCAGAACCCACACCCACAGGTGAGCATCTGACAGCCTGGAACAGAACCCACACCCCCAGGTGAGCATCTGACAGACTGGAACGGCACCCCCATGCCCAGGTGAGCCTCTGACAGCCTGGAACAGCACCCTGCACCCCCAGGTGAGCATCTGACAGCCTGGAACAGCACGCACACCCCCAGGTGAGCATGTGACAGCCGGGAACAGCACCCACACCCACAGGCGAGCATCTGACTGCATGTATCAGCACCCACACCCCCAGGTGAGCATCTGACAGCCTGGAACAGCACCCTGCACCCCCAAGTGAGCATCCGACAGCCTGGAGAAGCACCCACACCCCCAGGCGAGCATCTGACAGCCTGGAACGGCACCCACACCCGCAGGTGAGCATCTGATGGTCTGGAGCAGCACGCATAACCACAGGTGAACATCGGAGAGTCTGGAGCAGCGCCCACACCCCCAGGCGAGCATCTGACAGCCTGGAGCAGTGCCCACACCCCCAGGTGAGCATCTGACAGCGTGGAGGAGCACCCACACCCCCAGGCGAGCATCTGAACGCACGGAGCAGCACCCACACCTCCAGGCGAGCATCCGACAGCCTGGAGCAGCACCCACACCCCCAGGTGCGCATGTGATGGTCTGGAGCAGCACCCACACCCACAGGTGAGCATCTGACAGCCTGGAACAGAACCCACACCCCCAGGTGAGCATCTGACAGACTGGAACAGCACCCACATGCCCAGCTGAGCCTGTGACAGCCTCGAACAGCACCCTGCACCCCCAGGGGAGCATCTGACAGCCTGGAACAGCACGCACACACCCAGGTGAGCATCTGACCGCCTGGAACAGCACACACACCCCCAGGCGAGCATCTGACAGCATGTAACAGCACCCACACACCCAGGTGAGCATCTGACAGCCTGGAACAGCACCCTGCACCCCCAGGTGCGCACGTGACAGCCTGGAACAGCACACACACCCCCAGGCGAGCATCTGACAGCCTGGAACGGCACCCACACCCCCAGGTGAGCATGTGACAGCCTGGATCAGCACCCACACCCCCAGGCGAGCATCTGACAGCCTGGAGCAGCACCCCACACCCCCAGGTGAGCATCGGACAGCCTGGAGCAGCACCCACACCCCCTGATGAGCATCTGACAGCCTGGAACAGCACCCACACTCCCAGACGAGCATCGGACAGCCTGGAGCAGCACCCACACTGCCAGGCGAGCATCCGCCAGCCTGGAAAAGCACCCACACCCCCAGGTGAGCATTCGACAGCCTGGAGCAGCACCCACAACCCCAGGCGTGCATCCGACAGCCTGGAGCAGGACCCACACCCCCAGGTGAACATCCGACATCGTGGAGTAGCACCCCACACCCACAGGTGAGCATCTGACAGCCTGGAACAGTACCCACACACACAGGCGAGCATCTGAACCCACGGAGCAGCACCCACACCTCCCGGCGAGCATCCGACAGCCTGGAGCAGCACCCACACCCCCAGGTGCGCATCTGATGGTCTGGAGCAGCACCCACAACCACAGGTGAGCATCTGACATCGTGGAACAGCACCCCAAACCCACAGGTGAGCATCCGACAGCCTGGAGCAGCACCCCCACCCCCAGGCGAGCATCTGACAGCCTGGAACGGCACCCACACCCCCAGGTGAGCATCTGATGGTCTGGAGCAGCACCCACAACCACAGGTGAGCATCCGACAGCCTGGAACAGCACCCACACACTCAGGCGAGCATCTGACATCCTTGAGCAGCACCCACACCCCCAGGTGAGCATCTGACAGCATGGAGCAGCACGCTGCACCGCCAGGTGACGATCTGACAGCCTGGAACAGCACCCACACCCCCAGGTGAGCAGCTGATATCCTGGAACAGCACCCACACCCCCAGGTGAGCATCTGACAGGCTGGAGCAGCACGCACACCCCCAGTTGAGCATCTGACAGCCGGGAACAGCACCCACACCCCCAGGTGAACATCCGACAGCCTGGAGCAGAACCCACACCCTGAGGCGAGCATCTGACAGCCTGGGTCGGCACCCACACCTCCAGGTGAGCATCTGATGGTCTGGAGCATTACCCACACCCACAGTTGAGCATCTGACAGCCTGGAACAGAACCCACATCCCCAGGTGAGCATCTGACAGACTGGAACAGCACCCACACGCCCAGGTGAGCCTCTGACAGCCTGGAACAGCACGCGCACCCCCAGGAGAGCATCTGACAGCCTGGAACAGGACCCACACCCCCAGGCGAGCATCTGACTGCATGTAACAGCACCCACACCCCCAGGTAAGCATCTGACAGCCTGGAACAGCACCCTGCACCCCCAGGTGCGCACGTGACAGCCTGGAACAGCACCCACACCCCCAGGCGAGCATCTGACGGCCTGGAAGGGCACCCACACCCCCAGGCGAGCATCGGACAGCCTGGAGCAGCACCCCACACCCCCAGGGGAGCATCCGACAGCCTGGAGCAGCACCCACACCCCCAGGGGAGCATGTGACAGCCTGGATCAGCACCCACACTCCCAGGCGAGCATCTGACAGCCTGGAGCAGAACCCCACACCCCCAGGTGAGCATCGGACAGCCTGGAGCAGCACCCACACGCCCAGGTGAGCATCTGACAGCCTGGAACAGCACCCACACCCCCAGGTGAGCATCCGACAGCCTGGAGCAGGACCCACACCCCTAGGTGAACATCCGACATTGTGGAGCAGCACCCCACACCCACAGGTGAGCATCTGACAGCCTGTAACAGTACCCACACCCACAGGCGAGCACCTGAACCCACGGAGCAGCACCCACACCTTCCGGCGCGCATCCGACAGCCTGGAGCAGCACCCACACCCCCAGGTGCGCATCTGATGGTCTGGAGTAGCACCCACAACCACAGGTGAGCCTCTGACAGCCTGGAACAGCACCCTGCACCCCCAGGAGAGCATCTGACAGCCTGGAACAGCGGGCACACCCCCAGGTGAGGATCTGACCGCCTGGAACAGCACCCACATCCCCAGGCGAGCATCTGACAGCATGTAACAGCACCCATACCCCCAGGTGAGCATCTGACAGCCTGGAACAGCACCCTGCACCCCCAGGTGCGCACGTGACAGCGTGGAACAGCACCCACACACCCAGGTGAGCATCTGACAGCCTGGAGCAGCACCCACATCCCCAGGTGAGCATCTGACAGCCTGGAACAGCACCCTGCACCCCCAGGTGAGCATCGGACACCCTGGAACAGCACACACACCCCCAGGCGAGCATCTGACACCCTGGAACTGCACACACACCCCCAGGCGAGCATCTGACAACCTGGAACAGCACCCATACGCCCAGATGAGCATCTGACAGCGTGGAACAGCACCCTGCACCCCCAGGAGAGCATCTGACAGCCTGGAACAGCACCCATACGCCCAGATGAGCATCTGACAGCCTGGAACAGCTCCCTGCACCCTCAGGTGCGCACATGACAGCCTGGAACAGCACCCACACACCCAGGCGAGCATCTGACGGCCTGGAAACGCACCCACAGACCGAGGTGAGCATCCGACATCCTGAAACAGCTCCCACACCCCCAGGTGAGCATCCCACATCCTGAAACAGCTCCCACACCCCCTGGTGAGCATCCGACAGCCTGGAGCAGCACCCATACCCCCAGGTGAGCATCTGACCGCATGGAATGGCATCCTCACCTCCAGGTGAGCATCGGAGAGTCTGGAGCAGCGCCCACACCCCCAGGCGAGCATCTGACAGCCTGGAGCAGTGCCCAGAGCCCCAGGTGAGCATCTGACAGCATGGTTCAGAACCCATAGCCCAAGGTGAGCATCTGACAACCTGGAGCAGCACCCATACCCCCAGGCGAGCATCTGAACTCACGGAGCAGCACCCACACCCCAAGGCGAGCATCCGACAGCCTGGAGCAGCAGCCACACCCCCAGGTGCGCATGTGATGGTCTGGAGCAGCACCCACACCCACAGGTGAGCATCTGACAGCCTGGAACAGAAACCCCACCCTCAGGTGAGCATCTGACAGACTGGAACAGCACCCACATGCCCAGGTGAGCCTCTGACAGCCTGGAACAGCACCCTGCACCCCCAGGTGAGCATCTGACAGCCTGGAACAGCACGCAAACCCCCAGGTGAGCATCTCACAGCTTGGAACAGCACCCCGCACCCCCAGGCGAGCATCTGACAGCATGTAACAGCACCCACACCCCCAGGTGAGCATCTGACAGCCTGGAACAGCAGCCTGCACCCCCAGGTGCGCATGTGATAGCCTGGAACAGCACCCACACCGCCAGGCGAGCATCTGACGGCCTGGAACAGCACCCACACCCCCAGGTGAGTATCTGACTGCCTGGAACAGCACCCACACCCCAAGGTGAGCATCTGACATCGTGGAGCAGCACCCCACACCCACAGGTGAGCATCTGACAGCCTGGAGCAGCACCCACACCCCAGGTGAGGATCTGACAGCCTGGAACAGCACCCTGCACACCCAGGTGAGCATCCGACAGCCTGGAGCAGCACCCACACCTCCAGGTGAGCATTTGACCTCCCAGAGCAGCACCCATACCCCCAGGCGAGCATCTGAACTCATGGAGCAGCACCCACACCCCCAGGCGAGCATCTGACCCAACGGAGCAGAACCCAGAACCCCAGGCGAGCATCTGACAGCCTGGAACAGCACCCACAACCACAGGTGAGCATCTGAAAGCCCGCAGCATCACCCGCACGCACAGATGAGAATCTGACAGCCCGGAGCAGCACCCACACCCCCAGGGGAGCATCTGACCGCATGGAGCAGCACCCACACCCCCAGGGGAGCATCTGACATCCTGGAGCAACACTGACAACCCCAGGTGAGCATCTGAGAGGCTGGAACAGCACCCACACCCCCAGGTGAGAATCTGACAGCCTGGAAGAGCACCCCACATCCCCGGGTGAGCATGCGATAGCCTGGAGCAGCACCCACACCCTCAGGTGAGCATCTGACAGCCTGGAACAGCAACCACACCACCATGCGAGCATCTGACAGCCTGGAGCAGCACCCACACCCCCAGGTGAGCATCTGACAGCCTGGAACAGAACCCACACCTCCAGGTGAGCATCTGACAGCCTGGAGCAGCACCCACACCCCCAGGTGAGCATCTGACAGCCTGGAACAGAACCCACACCTCCAGGTGAGCATCTGACAGACTGGAACAGCACCCACACCCCTAGGAGAGCATCCGGCAGCCTGGAGCGGAACCCACACCAACAGGCGAGCATCTGACAGCCTCGGTCAGCACCCACAAACCCAGGTGAGCATCTGATGCTTTGGAGCAGCACCCACACCTTCAGGTGAGCATCTGACAGCCTGGAACAGAACCCACACCGCCAGGGGAGTATCTGACAGACTGGAACAGCACCCTGCTTCCCCAGGTGAGCATCTGACGGCCTGGAACAGCACCCACACGCCCAGGTGAGCATCTGACAGCCTGCAACAGCACCCACACCCCCAGGTGAGAATCCGACAGCCTGGAGCAGCACCCACAACCCCAGGCGAGCATCCGACAGCCTGGAGCAGCACCCACACCCCCAGGTGAGCATCTGACAGCCTGGAACAGCAAACTGCACACCCAGGTGAGCATGCGACAGCCTGGAGCAGCACCCACACCTGCAGGCGAGCATCTGACAACCTGGAGCAGCACCCACACCCCCATGTGAGCATCTGATGGTCTGGAGCAGCACCCAAAACCACAGGTGAGCATCGGAGAGTCTGGAACAGAACCCACACCCCCAGGTGAGCATCTGACAGACTGGAACAGCACCCACATGCCCAGGTGAGACCCTGACAGCCTGGAACAGCACCCTGCACCCCCAGGTGCGCACGTGACAGCCTGGAACAGCACCGACACCCCCAGGTGAGCATCTGACGGCCTGCAACAGCACCCACATCCCCAGGTGAGCATTGGACAGCCTGGAGCAGCACCCACATTCCCAGGCAAGCATCTGAACGCAAATAGCAGCACCCACACCCCCAGGCGAGCATCCGACAGCCTGGAGCAGCACCCACACCCCCAGGTGTGCATGTGATGGTCTGGAGCAGCCCCCACACCCAGAGGTGAGCATCCGACAGCCAGGAGCAGCAACCTGCACACCCAGGTGAGCATCTGACAGTCTGGAACACCACGCACAACCCCAGGTGAGCATCTGACAGACTGGAACAGCTCCCACACCCCCAGGCGAGCATCTGACAGCATGTATCAGCACCCACACCCCCAGGTGAGCATCTGACAGCCTGGAACAGCACCCACACCCCCAGGTGAACATCCGACAGCCTGGAGCAGAACCCACACCCCCAGGCGAGCATCTGACAGCCTGGGTCGGCACCCACAACCCCAGGCGAGCATCTGACGGCCTGGAACAGCACACACACCGCCAGGTGAGCATTGGACACCCTGGAGCAGCACCCACATCCCCAGGCGAGCATCCGACAGCCTGGAGCAGCACCCACACCCTCAGGTGAGCATCTGACAGCCTGGAGCAGCAGGCACACCCCCAGTGAGCATCTGACAGCCTGGAGCAGCGCCCACACACCGAGGTGAGCATCTGACAGCCTGGAGCAGCGTCCACACCCCCAGGTGAGCATCTGGCAGCCTGGAGCAGCACCCACACCCCCAGGTGAGCATCTGACTGCCTGGAGCAGCACCCACACCCCCAGGTGAGCATCTGACAGCCTGGAACAGCAGCCTGCACCCCCAGGTGTGCACGTGACAGCTTGGATCAGCACCCACACCCCCAGGCGAGCATCGGACGGCCTGGAACAGCACCCACACCCCCATGTGAGCATCTGACTGCCTGGAACAGCACCCACACCCCCAGGTGAGCATCTGACATCGTGGAGCAGCACCCCACACCCACAGGTGAGCTTCTGACAGCCTGGAGCAGCACCCACACCCCAGGTGAGCATCTGAGAGCCTGGAACAGCACCCTGCACCCCCAGGTGAGCATCCCACAGCCTGGAGCAGCACACACACCCACAAGCGAGCATCTGACAGCCTGGAACGGCACCCACACCCCTAGGTGAGCATCTGATGGTCTGGAGCATCACCCACAACCACAGGTGAGCATCGGAGAGTCTGGAGCAGCGCCCACACTGCAGGGCGAGCATCTGACAGCCTGGAGCAGTGCCCACACCCCCAGGTGAGCATCTGACACCATGGAGCAGCACCCACAGACCAAGGTGAGCATCTGACAACCTGGAGCAGCACCCACACTCCCAGGCGAGTATCTGTACGCACAGAGCAGCACCCACAACCCCAGGCGAGCATCCGACAGCCTGGAGCAGCACCCACACCCTCAGGTGAGCATCTGACAGCCTGGAGCAGAACCCACACCCCCAGGCGAGCATCTGACAGCCTGGGTCCGCACCCACACCCCCAGGTGCGCATCTGATGGTCTGGAGCAGAACCCACACCCACAGGTGAGCATCTGACAGCCTGGAACAGAACCCACACCCCCAGGTGAGCATCTGACAGACTGGAACTGCACCCCCATGCCCAGGTGAGCCTCTGACAGCCTGGAACAGCACGCACACCCCCAGGTGAGCATGTGACAGCCGGGAACAGCACCCACACCCACAGGCGAGCATCTGACTGCATGTATCAGCACCCACACCCCCAGGTGAGCATCTGACAGCCTGGAACAGCACCCTGCACCCCCAAGTGAGCATCCGACAGCCTGGAGAAGCACCCACACCCCCAGGCGAGCATCTGACAGCCTGGAACGGCACCCACACCCCCAGGTGAGCATCTGATGGTCTGGAGCAGCACGCATAACCACAGGTGAACATCGGAGAGTCTGGAGCAGCGCCCACACCCCCAGGCGAGCATCTGACAGCCTGGAGCAGTGCCCACACCCCCAGGTGAGCATCTGACAGCGTGGAGGAGCACCCACACCCCCAGGCAAGCATCTGAACGCAAGGAGCAGCACCCACACCTCCAGGCGAGCATCCGACAGCCTGGAGCAGCACCCACACCCCCAGGTGCGCATGTGATGGTCTGGAGCAGCACCCACACCCACAGGTGAGCATCTGACAGCCTGGAACAGAACCCACACCCCCAGGTGAGCATCTGACAGACTGGAACAGCACCCACATGCCCAGCTGAGCCTGTGACAGCCTCGAACAGCACCCTGCACCCCCAGGGGAGCATCTGACAGCCTGGAACAGCACGCACACACCCAGGTGAGCATCTGACCGCCTGGAACAGCACCCACACCCCCAGGCGAGCATCTCACAGCACGTAACAGCACCCACACACCCAGGTGAGCATCTGACAGCCTGGAACAGCACCCTGCACCCCCAGGTGCGCACGTGACAGCCTGGAACAGCACACACACCCCCAGGCGAGCATCTGACGGCCTGGAACGGCACCCACACCCCCAGGTGAGCATGTGACAGCCTGGATCAGCACCCACACCCCCAGGCGAGCATCTGACAGCCTGGAGCAGCACCCCACACCCCCAGGTGAGCATCGGACAGCCTGGAGCAGCACCCACACCCCCTGATGAGCATCTGACAGCCTGGAACAGCACCCACACTCCCAGACGAGCATCGGACAGCCTGGAGCAGCACCCACACTGCCAGGCGAGCATCCGCCAGCCTGGAAAAGCACCCACACCCCCAGGTGAGCATTCGACAGCCTGGAGCAGCACCCACAACCCCAGGCGTGCATCCGACAGCCTGGAGCAGGACCCACACCCCCAGGTGAACATCCGACATCGTGGAGTAGCACCCCACACCCACAGGTGAGCATCTGACAGCCTGGAACAGTACCCACACCCACAGGCGAGCATCTGAAACCACGGAGCAGCACCCACACCTCCCGGCGAGCATCTGACGGCCTGGAACAGCACACACACCGCCAGGTGACCATTGGACACCCTGGAGCAGCACCCACAACCACAGGTGAGCATCTGACATCGTGGAGCAGCACCCCAAACCCACAGGTGAGCATCCGACAGCCTGGAGCAGCACCCACACACCCAGGCGAGCATCTGACAGCCTGGAACGACACCCACACCCCCAGGTGAGCATCTGATGGTCTGGAGCAGCACCCACAACCACAGGTGAGCATCCGACAGCCTGGAACAGCACCCACACACTCACGCGAGCACCTGACATCCTTGAGCAGCACCCACACCCCCAGGTGAGCATCTGACAGCCTGGAGCAGCACCCTGCACCCCCAGGTGAGGATCTGACAGCCTGGAACAGCACCCTGCACCCCCAGGTGAGCATCTGACACACTGAAACAGCACACACACCCCCAGGCGAGCATCTGACAACCTGGAACAGCACCCATACGCCAAGATGAGCATCTGACAGCGTGGAACAGCACCCTGCACCCCCAGGAGAGCATCTGACAGCATGGAACAGCACCCATACGCCCAGATGAGCATCTGACAGCCTGGAATAGGTCCCTGCACCCCCAGGTGCGCACCTGACAGCCTGCAACAGCACCCACACACCCAGGCGAGCATCTGATGGCCTGGAACTGCACCCAGACGCCCAGGTGAGCATCCGACATCCTGAAACAGCTCCCACACCCCCAGGTGAGCATCCGACAGCCTGGAGCAGCACCCATACCCCCAGGTGAGCATCTGATCGCATGGAATGGCATCCTCACCTCCAGGTGAGCATCCGACAGCCTGGAGTAGCACCCACACCCCCAGGTGAGCATCTGACAGCCTGGAAGAGCAACCACACCCCCAGGCGAGTATCTGACAGCCTGGAACAGCATCCTGCACCCCAGGGTGAGGATCAGACAGCCTGGAGCAGCACCCACACTCCAGGTGAGCATCTGACAGCCTGAAGCAGCACCCACACCAACAGGTGAGCATCTGACCGCCTGGAACAGCACCCACACCCCCAGGTGAGCATCTGACAGCCTGGAACAGCACCCACACCCCCAGGTGAGCAGCTGAAATCCTGGAACAGCACCCACACCCCCAGGTGAGCATCTGACAGGCTGGAGCAGCACGCACACCCCCAGTTGAGCATCTGACAGCCTGGAACAGCATCCACACCCCCAGGTGAACATCCGACAGCCTGGAGCAGAACCCACACCCCGAGGCGAGCATCTGACAGCCTGGGTCGGCACCCACACCTCCAGGTGAGCATCTGATGGTCTGGAGCAGTACCCACACCCACAGTTGAGCATCTGATAGCCTGGAACAGAACCCACACCCCCAGGTGAGCATCTGACAGACTGGAACAGCACCCACACGCCCAGGTGAGCCTCTGACAGCCTGGAACAGCACGCGCACCCCCAGGTGAGCATCTGACAGCCTGGAACAGGACCCACACCCCCAGGCGAGCATCTGACTGCATGTAACAGCACCCACACCCCCAGGTAAGCATCTGACAGCCTGGAACAGCACCCTGCACCCCCAGGTGTGCACGTGACAGCCTGGAACAACACCCACACCCCCAGGAGAGCATCTGACTGCATGTAACAGCACCCACACCCCCAGGTAAGCATCTGACAGCCTGGAACAGCACCCTGCACCCCCAGGTGTGCACGTGACAGCCTGGAACAGCACCCACACCCCCAGGCGAGGATCGGACAGCCTGGAGCAGCACCCTACACCCCCAGGGGAGCATCCGACAGCCTGGAGCAGCACCCACACCCCCAGGTGAGCATGTGACAGCCTGGATCTGCACCCACACTCCCAGGCGAGCATCTGACAGCCTGGAGCAGCACCCCACACCCCCAGGTGAGCATCGGACAGCCTGGATCAGCACCCACACCCCCAGGTGAGCATCTGACAGCCTGGAACAGCACCCACACTCCCAGACGAGCATAGGACAGCCTGGAGCAGCACCCACATCGCCAGGCGAGCATCCGCCAGCCTGGAACAGCACCCACACCCCCAGGTGAGCATCCGACAGCCTGGAGCAGGACCCACACCCCTAGGTGAACATCCGACATCGTGGAGCAGCACCCCACACCCATAGGTGAGCATCTGACAGCCTGTAACAGTACCCACACCCACAGGCGAGCATCTGAACCCACGGAGCAGCACCCACACCTTCCGGCGAGCATCCGACAGCCTGGAGCAGCACCCACACCCCCAGATGCGCATCTGATGGTCTGGAGCAGCACCCACAACCACAGGTGAGCCTCTGACAGCCTGGAACAGCACCCTGCACCCCCAGGAGAGCATCTGACAGCCTGGAACAGCGCGCACACCCCCAGGTGAGGATCTGACCGCCTGGAACAGCACCCACACCCCCAGGCGAGCATCTGACAGCATGTAACAGCACCCACACCCCCAGGTGAGCATCTGACAGCCTGGAACAGCACCCTGCACCCCCAGGTGCGCACGTGACAGCGTGGAACAGCACCCACACACCCAGGTGAGCATCTGACATCCTGGAGCAGCACCCACATCCCCAGGTGAGCATCTGACAGCCTGGAACAGCACCCTGCACCCCCAGGTGAGCAAGTGACACCCTGGAACAGCACACACACCCCCAGGCGAGCATCTGACACCCTGGAACAGCACACACACCCCCAGGCGAGCATCTGACAACCTGGAACAGCACCCATACGCCCAGATGAGCATCTGACAGCGTGGAACAGCACCCTGCACCCCAAGGAGAGCATCTGACAGCCTGGAACAGCACCCATACGCCCAGATGAGCATCTGACAGCCTGGAACAGCTCCCTGCACCCCCAGGTGCGCACATGACAGCCTGGAACAGCACCCACACACCCAGGCGAGCATCTGATGGCCTGGAACCGCACCCACACCCCCAGGTGAGCATCCGACATCCTGAAACAGCTCCCACAACCCCAGGTGAGCATCCGACAGCCTGGAGCAGCACCCATACCCCCAGGTGAGCATCTGACCGCATGGAATGGCATCCTCACCTCCAGGTGAGCATCCGACAGCCTGGAGCAGCACCCACACCCCCAGGTGAGCATCTGACAGCCTGGAAGAGCAACCACACCCCCAGGCGAGCATCTGACAGCCTGGAACAGCACCCTGCACCCCCGGGTGAGGATCAGACAGCCTGGAGCAGCACCCACACTCCAGGTGAGCATCTGACAGCCTGAAGCAGCACCCACACCAACAGGTGAGCATCTGACAACCTGGAACAGCACCCACACCCCCAGGTGAGCAGCTGACCGCCTGGAACATCACCCACACCCCCAGGTGAGCATCTTATATCCTGGAACAGCACCCACACCTCCAGGTTAGCCTCTGACGGGCTGGAGCAGCACGCACACCGCCAGTTGAGCATCTGACAGCCTGGAACAGCACCCACACCCCCAGGTGAACATCCGACAGCCTGGAGCAGAACCCACACCCCCAGGTGAGCATCTGACAGACTGGAACAGCACCCACACGCTCAGGTGAGCCTCTGACAGCCTAGAACAGCACCCACACCCCCAGGCGAGCATCTGACAGCATGTAACAGCACCCACACCCCCAGGTAAGCATCTGACAGCCTGAAACAGAACCCTGCACCCCCGGTGCGCACGTGACAGCCTGGAACAGCACCCACACCCCCAGGCGAGCATCTGACGTCCTGGAACAGCACCCACACCCACAGGCGAGCATCGGACAGCCTGGAGCAGCACCCCACACACCCAGGTGAGTATCCGACAGCCTGGAGCAGCACCCACACCCCCAGGTGGGCATGTGACAGCCTGGATCAGCACCCACACTCCCAGGCGAGCATCTGACAGCCTGAAGCAGCACCCCACACCCCCAGGTGAGCATCGGGCAGCCTGGAGCAGCACCCACACCCCCAGATGAGCATCTGACAGCCTGGAACAGCACCCACACTCCCAGACGAGCATCGGACAGCCTGGAACAGCACCCACACCGCCAGGCCAGCATCCGCCAGCCTGGAACAGCACCCACACCCCCAGGTGAGCATTCGACAGCCTGGAGCAGCACCAACAACCCCAGGCTTGCATCCGACAGCCTGGAGCAGGACCCACACCCCCAGGTGAACATCCGACATCGTGGAGCAGCACCCCACACCCACAGGTGAGCATCTCACAGCCTGCAACAGTACCCACACTCCCAGGCGAGCATCTGACATCCTGGAGCAGCACCCACACCCCCAGGTGAGCATCTGACAGCCTGGAGTAGTATCCTGCACCCTCAGGTGAGCATCTGACAGCCTGGAACATCACCCTGCCCCCCCAGGTGAGCATCTGACAGCCTGGAAAGGCACCCACACCACCAGGTGAGCATCTGATGGTCTGGAGAAGCACCCACAACCACAGGTGAGCATCGGAGAGTCCGGAGCAGCGCCCACACACCCAAGTGAGCATCTGACAGCCTGGAGCAGTGCCCACACCCCCAGGTTAGCATCTGATAGTGTGGAGCAGCACCCACAGCCCAAGGTGAGCATCTGACAACCTGGAGCAGCACCCACACCCCCAGGTGAGCATCTGACCGCCCGGAGCAGCACCCATACCCCAAGGCGAGCATCTGAAGTCATGGAGCAGCACCCACACCCCCAGGCGAGCATCTGACCGCATGGAGCAGCAGCCACAACTCCAGGCGAGCATCTGACAGCCTGGAACAGCACCGCACACCCGCAGGTGAGCATCTGACAGCCTGGAACAGCACCCCACACCCCAAGGTGAGTATCTGACAGCCTGGAACATCACCCCGCACCCACAGGCGAGCATCTGACAGCCTGGAGCAGCACCCACACACCCAGGCGAGAATCTGACAGCCTGGAACACCACCCACATCCCCAGGTGAGCATCTGACAGCCTGGAGCAGCACCCACACCCCCAGGTGAGCATCTGACAGCCTGGAGCAGCACCCACACACCCAGGTCAGCATCTGACAGCCTGGTGAAGCGCCCAAACCCCAAGGTGAGCATCTGACAGCCTGGAGCAGCGCCCACACCTCCAGGTGAGCATCTGACAGCCTGGAGCAGCACCCACACCCCCATTTGAGCATCCGACAGCCTGGAGCAGCACCCACACCCCAGGTGAGCATCGGACATCCTCGAGCATCACATACTCCCCCAGGTGAGCATCCGACAGCCTGGAGCAGCGCCCACACCCCTAGATGAGCATCTGACAGCCTGGAGCAGCACCCATACCCGCAGTTGAGCATCTGACAGCCTGGAGCAGCTCCCACACACCCAGGTAAGCATCTGACAGCCTGGAGAAATGCTCACACCCCAAGGTGAGCATCTGACAGCCTGGAGCAGCGTCCACACCCCCAGGTGAGCATCTGATAGCCTGGAGCAGCGCCCACACCCAGAGGTGAGCATATGACCACCTGGAGCAGCACCCACAGTCCCAGGTGAGCATCCGAGAGCCTGGAGCAGCATCCTCACCCCAGGTGAGCATCGGACATCCTGGAGCATCACATACTCCCCCAGGTGAGCATCCGACAGCCTGGAGCAGCGCCGACCCCCCCAGGGTGAGCATCTGACAGCCTGGAGCAGCACCCACACGCCCAGGCGAGGATGCGATAGCCTGGAGCAGCACCCACACCCCCAGGTGAGCATCCGACAGTCTGGGGCAGCACCCACTCCCGCAGGTGAGCATCCGACAGCCTGGAGCAGCGCCCACAACCCCAGGTGAGTATCTGACAGCCTGGAGCAGCACCCACACCCCTAGGCGAGCATCCGACAGCCTGGAGCAGCACCTACACCCCCAGGTGAGCATCCGACAGCCTGGAACAGAATTCTCAAACCCCAGGTGAGGATCTGACAACCTGGAACAGAACCCCACTCTTCCAGGTGAGAATCTGACAACATTAAAACAGCACCCTGCACCCCCAGGTGAGCATCTGACAGCCTGAAACAGCACCCTTCACCTTCAGGTGAGAATATGACAGCCTGAAACAGCACCCCACACCCCAGGCAAAAATCTGACAGCATGGAACAAGACCACTGCTCCCAGGTGAGCATTTGACAACCTGGGAAAGCACCCTCCACCCACACGTGAGCATCTGACAGCCTGGAAACACCCCACTGCTTCCAGATGAACATCTGATAGCCTGGAACAGAACCCCAGGCCTCCAAGTAAGCATCTGAAAGCACGGAACAGCACTCTCGACCCCAGGGGAGCGTCTGACAACCTAGAACAGCACCTTCACCCCGAGGTGGGCATCTGGCAGCATAAAACAGCACCCCTACTGGCAGATGAGCATATGACAGCCTGGAACAGCACCCACACCCCCAGGCGAGCATCTGACAGCCTGGAGCAGCACACACAACCTTAGGCGAGCATCTGACAGCCTGGAGCAGCGCCCACACCCCCAGGTGAGCATGTGACAGCCTGGAGCAGCGCCCACACCCCCGGGCGAGCATCTGACAGCCGGGAGCAGCACCCACACCCCCAGGTGAGCATCTGACAGCCTGGGGCGGCGCCCACAGCCCCAGGTGAGCATCTGACAGCCCGGAGCAGCGTCCACACCCCCAGGTGAGCATCTGGCAGCCTGGAGCAGCACCCACACCCCCAGGTGAGCATCTGACTGCCTGGAGCAGCACCCACACCCCCAGGTGAGCATCTGACAGCCTGGAGCAGCGCCCACACACCGAGGTGAGCATCTGACAGCCTGGAGCAGCGCCCACACCCCCAGGTGAGCATCTGACAGCGTGGAGCAGCGCCCACACCCCCAGGTGGGCATCTGACAGCCTGGAGCAGGCGCCCACAATCCCAGGTTAGCATCTGACAGCCTGGAGCAGCACCCACACCCCCAGTTGAGTAGCTGACATCCTGGAGCTGCACCCATACCCCCAGGTGAGATCTGACAGCCTGGGTCAGCACCCACACCCCCAGGTGAGCATCTGGCAACCTGGAACAGCATCTACAGCCCCAGGTGACCATCTGACAGCCTGAAGCAGCACCCACACCCCCAGGTGAGCATGTGACCACATGGAATGTCATCCTCACCTCCAGGTGAGCATCGGACAGCCTGGAACAGAATTCTCAAGCCCCAGGTGAGGATCTGACAACCTGGAACAGAACCCCACTCTTCCAGGTGAGAATCTGACAGCATAAAACAGCACCCTGCACCCCCAGGTGAGCATCTGACAGCCTGAAACAGCACCCTCCACCTTCAGGTGAGAATATGACAGCCTGAAACAGCACCCCGCACCCAGGCAAAAATCTGACAGCATGGAACAAGACTACTGCCCCCAGGTGGGCATTTGACAGCCTGGGAAAGCACCCTCTACCCACACGTGAGCATCTGACAGCCTGGAAACCCCCCCACTGCTTCCAGGTGAACATCTGATAGCCTGGAACAGAACCCCAGGCCTCCCAGTAAGCATCTGAAAGCAAGGAACAGCACTCTCACCCCCAGGGGAGCATCTGACAACCTAGAACAGCACCCTCACCCCGAGGTGGGCATCTGGCAGCATAAAACAGCACCCCTACTGGCAGATGAGCATATGACAGCCTGGAACAGCACCCACACCCGCTGGCGAGAATCTGACAGCCTGGAGCAACACCCACACCCCCAGGTGAGCATCTGACAGCCTGGAGCAGCGCCCACACCCCCAGGTGAGCATCTTACAGCCTGGAGCAGCGCCCACACCCCCAGGTGAGCATCTGACAGCCTGGAGCAGCACCCACACTCCCAGGTGAGTATCTGACAGCCTGGAGTAGCACCCACACCCCCAGGTGAGCATCTGACAGCCTGGAACAGCATCCACTCCCCCAGGTGAGCATCTGACCACATTGAATGGCATCCTCACCTCCAGGTGAGCATCTGACAGCCTGGAACCGCACCCACACCCCCAGGCGAGCATCTGACAGCCTGGAGCAGCACCCACACCCCCAGGTGAGCATCTGACAGCCTGGAGCAGCACCCACACCCCCAGGGGAGTATCTGACCGCATGGAATGTCATCCTCACTTCCAGGTGAGCATCCGACAGCCTGGAGCAGCACCCACACCCCCAGGTGAGCATCTGACCGCATGGAATGGCATCCTCACCTCCAGGTGAGCATCCGACAGCCTGGAACAGAATTC